>NW_016107304.1:0-241058 GCF_000001405.40 Homo sapiens
GAATTCCCCATGAGTCCTGTGACCTCAGCCCACACGGGGACCTACAGGTGCTACGGCTCACTCAGCTCCGACCCCTACCTGCTGTCTCACCCCAGTGGCCCCGTGGAGCTCGTGGTCTCAGGTGAGGGCGCTGACCCTGTCCTCTCTGAGCTCAAAGGCTCAGCTCAGGCCCTGCCCCCAGCAGAGCTCTGGACACTAAGGAAAGAGGGGAGTGAAGGGAGAGGGTCCGCAGGGGAGGGTCCAGCCCATGGGAAGATGGAAATAGACAGGGACCTCCCACCCCTGGCTCCCACCCCTGAAGTCTCAGTAGAGTAAAGTGCAGGGAGGGCTGGGAGGAGACGGGGGGTGAACCTCAAAGGAGTTGAGATTAGACTGAGGGTGGAAGACGGAGGCCCCACCTGCTCCCATCCTGGTGTCTCCACCTCAGAATCAGAGCCTCTGTGTCCCAGTCCCCAACAGACGCCCTCCTGGAGAGAGAAGCATCCAGGCTGCCGGTGCCACCTGCATCCACCCCCGACCCCCCCCCACCCCGCCCCACTTCCTGCTTTCCCCTGCAGCCTCCCCAGCACTCAGCGCACACCTGAGCCTCACAGGGACTTGCACGTGCTCCCGCAGCAGCTCAGGGAATGTGCACCGCTCCTCTTCTGCGCCGTTGACATTTTTTATTTGGGTTTTTAAAATCTCATATTGGCCTTTTTGTCCAAGCTGGTGAAAGTAGATTTGCAGCATCACCTATTTTTATTCTCACCCGGTTTCGTAATAGCCCTGATCTCACGTGCTCCCTGAGGTTTTGTAAACTTCAGGTAGAAATGTGGACTTCCTTCGTTCTGGACATTTGCTATGGAGGGGGTAGGGCTTATCTTTTCAGAAAAAGTCAAATGACTGGTACCACTCCTTGAAACCCTACAGCACTTTCCAGACCTCAGAGGGAGGGAGAGAGAGGCAGAGACAGAGACAGAGAGACAGAGAGAGAGATATTGGGGCCGCTCTTTCCTGGCCGGTTCATCCTGGCCTATTCTCAATCCACCAAGGCCCCGAAGCTCATCTCCCCTCCTCCTCTGCCTCCTCCTCCACCCTGTAGACAAGCGGCCATTCCTTTCTGAAGAACAGGCTGAGACCTTTCTGGGACCTGCTCTTTCTGGAGCCTCTGTTGCTCCCTGTCTGGGTCTCCACACGCCTCCTTCCTGGCCCTTTTTCCTATTGAGGAATCAGCTTCAATGTCACCTCCAAGTGTGACCTTCACTGACGACACAGCTCAGCCCAGTCCTGCCTGCTTCTCATTTATGTCAAGTAATTAACCAACCTACACCATGCGGCTGAATTCCTTCTCTCTCTCTTCCACTCTCTGCATATACGTGTGTGTGTGTGTGTGCGCGTGTGTGGTCACACCAACATCTTACGTGACATTGAAACCTAGTTATCCGTATATCTATACAAATAATATATATTCACACATAAATATAGGTCTCTACCAATATATCTAAAACCATTGCTACGACTAGTAAATTTCCACTGCTGTGTTTCTATATGTTTGCTGTTTGTCTCCAGGTGAACCCACACTTCAAGAAGGCAGAGATAGTTTTTAAGGCCCACTATATATATAAAACAGATATATATTTGTGTTTGTGTTTTTCTGTGTGTGTATCACATTCTACCTGTTGCTGCCTATACGAATAATTAGCTACCTAGAGATTAAATGGACAATGAAACTCCAGGTGAAGTGGCTGAGGGCATGAAGGGGAGGCAGCCCCAGAATTTCACCCCTTTGTGCTTCTGACATTGAGGCTCCCCTGATGACTAACCCTCATCCACGGAGCCTGGGTCCTCAGCTGGTGGATCCGTGAAACTCTCATCTCCGGGGGAGTTGGCTCATGTTCTCCTGTGTCCCAGGCTGCACAGAGAGCACACAGGCCTTAGTGACCTCTGTACTGGGGACCACTTTCCTTGCAGATCCTGAGCTCTCAGGATGCAGGAAAACTCTCTCCCAGATGACTCAGGAGCAATGTTTAAATCCATAGAACACAGGAAAACTGAAATCGTTCAATGAGGAGACTAGAGGGAATCCTGCTAGCGGAGGAAGAGGTTTTTTTTTTTTTTTTTTAGAAATTCTGTAAAAGTCACATCATGAGACATTAAGTAATAAAAAAAAAATTGCAGAGCCCAGGTGAGAGGCTGGGCTCAGGTCTCTTTTTCTCTGTTTTGATTCTCTGGAGCAGCTGATACCCTCAGCCCATCACAAAACAAGTCTGACTCTGAGACTGGTATGTGAGGAGATACTCTCAGTGATGGGGCTGGCACTGAGGGTTGGGTCCTGTGAAGGGGAGGTGGGTGCCCTGGGTGGACAATCTGATCCACCCTGACCTCTGTGACCTCTTTGTCCACCATCCCCAGCCTCACACCTTCAGGATTACGCAGTGGAGAATCTCATCCACATGGGCGTGGCTGGCTTGATCCTGGTGGTCCTCGGGATTCTGTCATTTGAGGCTTGGCACAGCCAGAGAAGCTTCCCAAGATGCAGCCGGGAGGTGAACAGCAGAGAGGATAATGTACTTTATAGAGTCGTGAAGCCTCAGGAACAGATCTGATGATCCCAGGAGGTTCTGGAAGAAAATCTAGGGCCGATGCTATCTGGACTGTCTGCTGGTCATTTCCAGAGGAAGGAATCAATGTCCGAGTGCAGGGACATTTTCTGGGGTGATCCATGGAGAACCATTAAAATGTGATACCTTTCCTCTCCATTAATGTTGACTTTCCTTGGTTGGATCTGCCTCTTTTCCCACACTTAGACATGAGGCTCCATCCCACATGGCAGCGTTGGGTCCACACCTCTGCACACCTGCATGCTCTGGTCCATGGCGTGTCACACAGTCCTCTTCATTTCTCATTGCCACACTTCCTGGTGTACTTTACTGGGTCTTCATGTCTTCAGTTCAGAGTTCCGCACCTGGTTTAGGAACTAATTCAACGGGAGAAGATCAGAGTCCGACCAGGAAAAGATAAATGCACCGTGATGCCCTCACCTCCTGTGTGGACCCTATGAGCTCTTCCCTCCTTATCAGATGCTATCTGTGTAGTTTCTCCTGAAATATCACCACCTGGAATCAACACACTGGCATTTGAAGTCACGACCCAATGGTATGCTAATTCTGAAAAAGACATTTTTTGAAATGCTATGATTAGTGGCATTTACCAATTTCCTTGACGTAAATTCTTTTTTCATGGCCATAATCAAGATGCCAACGAGACATCCCTGAATGCAGGGTTGGGAAGCGTTGGACAGACTTGTCTTCACTCATAAGCACCAGGCATCTGATAGCTCACGTATACATCTTATTACCTTCCATTTTAGAGTGAATAATCATTTCTACTTCAGTATTTTGGCACAGGTAAAAGCAGTCCCATTACTGCGCGTATACCCAAAGGAATATAAATCATTCTATTGCAAAGATACATGCACACATGTGTTCATCGCAGCACTATTCACAATAGCAAAGACATAGAATCAACCCAAATGCCCATCAATGATAGACTGGATAAAGAAAATGTGAGACATATACACCACGGAATACTATGAAGCCATAAAAAGAAACAAGATCATGTCCTTTGCAGGGACATGGATGGAGCTGGAAACCATTATCCTCAGGAAACTAACACAGGAACAGGAAATCAAACGCTGCATGTTCTCACTTACAAGTGGGTGCTGAACAATGAGAATGCGTGAACACAGGGAGGGGAACAACACACACTGGGGCCTGTCGGGGGGGGGGTGGGGTAGGGGTAGGGAGAGCATTAGGAAAAATAGCTAATGTATGCTGGGCTTAATACCTAGGTGATGGGTTGACAGGTGCAGGAAACCACCATGGCGCACATTGACCTATGCAATAAGCCCACACATTCTGCACATGTACCCCGGAACTTAAAATAAAAATAAAAATTAAAATTAAATTATGACACCATGATCCTAGCATATCCAAAAAAGACAAAAATGCCAATATCAAATGTCGGAGAAAATAGGGCTGAATTAAAAATCCAATACAACGCCGGGCGCAGTGGCTCACGCCTGTAATCCCAGCACTTTGGGAGGCCAAGGTGGGTGGATCACTTGAAGTCAGGAGTTTGAGACCAGCCTGGCCAAACGTGGTGAAACCCTGCCTCTACTAAAAATACAAAAATTAGCCGGGTGTGGTGGCACTCGCCTGTAGTCCTAGCTACTAGGGAGGCTGAGGCAGGAGAATCACTTGAACCCGGGAGGCGGAGGTTGCAATGAGCTGAGATCATGCCACTGAACTCCAGCCTGGGTGACAGAGCGAGACTCCGTCTCAAAAAAAAAAACAAAAAAAAAAAACCCTCAAAAGCTCAGGCAGCAAAAGCAAAAATAGGCAAATGAGATCATAGCAAACTGCAAACCTTCTGCACAATCAAGGAAACAAACAGCAGAGTGAAGAGACCACCTACAGAATGGGAAAGAATATTTGCAAGCAAGAGATTAATCTCCAGAAAATACAAGGAGCTCAAACAATGCAGAGGTTTTGAAGGATGGTGATGAGAAGGTTCTGCTACTTACAGAAAGGAAGTTTAGGAGAAACAAAACCACAAACCTAGGTGGTGGGATGGCTTGATCTGCTTCTGTCTGTGACTCACTTAACAGTCTTAAACACATCTCCCTAAGCCTCCTTCCCCCGGTGGGATTCCTGGGTCTTGTGAGGACCTCATCGGTCCCTCTGGTAAACCCAGGCACAGAGTGGAGCAGCTCTTGTTTTCTCAGGATCTTCCCCTTCACATACAATTAACGCACCCACACGATGCTACTCTTAGAACCCTTCAAATAAATGTTTCCCGGTTCATTCACTACCAGAATCCAAGCTCAGCTTGTTCCCCAGCTTAGGACTGAGTGGTATCTTGGAGGTAGTTTCCACCATAGCCCCCTTCCTCTGCTATAAGGCTCAGTGACACACCAGAGACACCCCCTCCAGCCAGGCTCCTGGAAGGTCTGGATGAAGACTGGGATGCTGAGGCATTGCTCAGCAATGTGGCTTAACTCAAACTTCTATGTGAAACTTCCAACCACTTTCAGCAAGGGGTCACTTCCAGCGTCTTGGGGTGTGAGGGCACTTTGGTTGGTCCCTGCAATATCAGACCCTATAAAGATCCTACAAACATGTTGCAGACTCTTTGAAGATTCTGGCACTTTCAGACATGCTGTTGGGAAATGGTGACACCCATAACCTTCTAGTTCCAGGACAGGGAGCCTTAGCCCAGGGCTATGTTTTCTGAGGGTCCTCAAAGTAAACAGTTCTATGTGCCAGGAGAACCCTAAATCTCATATGGTTCTAAGGGCAGAAAGCCACACACGCACCGGCAAAAAGCAAGAGATTCAAGGAAAAGCTGAGCAAAGACAGACAGGAAAACACACACATGATGAGCCAGCTTGTAGAGCTAGAACTGAGATGGAGAGAGGCACGAGTGGGTAACAGAGTGTGCTCCCCAGAACAGGTGGAGAGAATGCCTTTTTCATGCCCTGAGGATAGGCTGGGTAAGGCTTGTGCTCGACAGTCAAGGACTATTTTTTTCCCCAGGCGTCTACAAGAGACCTTCCTTCTCAGCTCAACTGTGCCCTGCAGTAAGTAATGATGGAGAGAATGTGACTTTGCTCTGCAGCTCTGGAAGCTCATTTGACCTGTGCCTTCTAACGAGGAAGGTAAGGCCCCTGGACACTGGCTCACTGGGGTGCAGAGACAGAGTGGGGCATTCAGGCCAACTTCTCTCTGGGTCTTGGGGCTGGTGATGGGACCTCTAGATGCTGCAGCTCTCTGTCGATGGCTCTGCCTGTGAGTGATCAGCCCTAGATGACCACTGTTACTGGGGGTAGCCCATGCCTGCTGCATGCCCTGTGAAACACTAAATCATATAGCCACGTCTGAGGGACAGCCTGCTGGAGACATGGGAATCTTAGGGATTCCAGACAAAATGAAGCAATGAGAAACACAAAGAGGAAAAGAGAGGTTGAGTATGACAGTGGTGTCAGGGTGTAGGGTGGTAGACAGGGCAGCTCCACACTCTCCACTGCTTCCTGTCTGGAGGCCCACTTTGGGGTCCTACTTATCCAGGTGAGTGAAGGAAGAGGTCAGGACAAACACAGGAGGTGAAGCCAGATACAGTGTGGGGAGATAAGCAGTGGCCTCAGCCTCTAGCCCTTTTCCATCTTCCAGAAGCCCCTCCTGAGCTCTCATCACAGACAGATTTCCCATTTGGAAACCCAGATATTTATCATGCCGGGGGGGGGAGGCAATGTCTCTTGATTATGGGGACTTTCCATCACCAGGCACCTGCTAGTCCTCTCTATACCTTCCCTTCAGGAAAGGAATTGTCCCTCATGGGATTCCAGGGAAGAGACCCCAGGACCCCTATCAGTCACTAGGGAGATGACAGAGTAGAGGAAGTCAGGGGACCAACCCTCCACAGAGAATGGTCCTACTTCAGTGGGGTGAGGGAAACTCTCACTCATCCATTTGCTGTCCTGTTACCTCGGAACCCTAAGAGAACTTGTTAGTCACACACAGAATCTACCCCTGAATGTGGTGTGCAAAGTGGGGCTCTTAGCCTCCAGTGTGAAGTCCCTGGGAAGATGGAATGTCCCTGTGTGAGTGAAGGCTGTGCCACCGCCCAGCTATGTGGCCTTGGGCTAGGCAACCCCTCCCAGGTCCCCAGTTCCCCATCTGCATCGGAGACTGTGGCCAGTGCGGGAATCCACAAGGCCCTTCAGCCTCCAAAGCTCTGGGACAGAGGCCTCGTCCACAGGGAGGAAGGGGTCAGAGTGACCTGAGTCCCTACTCAGGAGCGAGTCTAATCCACTCTCCATCGGGGCCTGTGGGGAAGGGAAGATGAAGAAACGGAGCCTGCACCTGGCTATGTGGGCGCAGTAGATTAAGGGGAGGATGAGGGTTCCTGAGAGTGTGTCATGTGGCAGAGACCCTGCAGCACACTCAGGAAGGGCTCTGGAAGGATCCAAGGAAATTTTCCAAGAAGAGGGCAGAGTAAGTGACAGAGACCCTCAACCATGGATTTCACTGAGGTGCCCATGATGACATAGGGAGAACGGGGGTGTCTGGGCAGGAAGAATATCGTCAGGGTGAAATGAATGGTGATGAGCTTCGTGTCAGAGCTCCTGTGGAGGGAGGGGCCTGGCCCACATGAAAAGGTCTCTGATCCTACCCCAGCCCCCAGCCCCTGTTCTCCAGGATGACACTGTGGGAATTCCATCAGGAGGGGTGTGATAGGGCTGGTCTTCCTGGCTCGATTCACAACACTGGCTGGGGACTGGGAACCCATGGGGAGCCACAGGTGGAAAGGGAGGAGCCTCAGTGAACCCAGCAGGAACAAACATAGGGTCTGACATGATGGAACTCACTTCCTGGAGGCCAAGAAAGACACTTGCGGGACAAAAGGGAAAGAGCGGTGGCTTGCTTAGTTCCATTCACTGACAACCCACAGGAGATGTCCAGTCCTTTTTTGATTTATTATTTTATTTTATTATATTTTATTTTATTTTATTTTATTTTCACATGGAGTTTTGCTCCTATTGGCCAGGCTGGAGTGCAATGGCACGATCTTGACTCACTGCAACCTCCACCTCTCAGGTTCAAGCGATTCTCCTGCCTCAGCCTCCTGCATAGCTGGGATTACAGGCGACTGCCACCACAGCCAGGTAATGTTTGTATTTTTAGTAGAGATGAGGTTTTGCCATCTTGGCCAGGCTGGTCTCAAACTCCTGATCTCATGTGATCCGCCTGTATCAGACTGCCAAAGTGTTGGGATTACAGGCGTGAGCCACCACACCCAGCCTTTTGTATTTTTAGTAGAGATGGGGTTTCACCATGTTGGTCAGGCTGGTCTTAAACTCCTGACCTCAGGTGATCCATCCACCTCGGCCACCCAAAGTGCTGGGAGTACAGATGTTAGCCACCGTACCCAGCGAGAGTTTCAGTGCTCTATCGGATTCCCTGCCTACTCCATGTTGCATGTAATGTTCCACCTCAGGGATGTTTCTCTCCTTTCTGTCTCCTTCCTCTTCTCCTTCTCCTTTTTTCTTTCTAATTTTTATTTTTTTGAGACAGAGCCTTGCTCTGTTACCCAGGCTAGAGTACAGTGGCACGATCCCAGCTCACTGCAACCTCTGCCTCCTGGGTTCAAGAGATTCTCCTGACTCAGCCTCTCAAGTAGCTGGGATTACAGGCACCCGCCATCACACCCAGCTAGTTTTTGTATTTTTAGTAGAGACGAGGTTTCACCATGTTGGCCAGACTGGTCTTGAACTCCTGCCCTCAGGTAATCCACCCGCCTGTGGCCCCCCAAAGTGCTGGGATTACAGGCGTGAGTCACCACTCCCAGCCCTGAATGATCTTTCCTCTTTAGTGTGTTCTCACAACCACCTCTCACTGAGCTTTCTTGTTTTTTGTTTTTGTTTTTGTTTTTGTTTTTGTTTTTGGCAGAGTCTGGCTTTGTTGCCTATGCTGGAGTGCAGTGGTGCAATCTCAGCTCACTGCAACCTCCGTCTCCTGGGTTCAAGCGATTCTCCCACCTCAGCCTCCTGAGTAGCTGGGATTACAGGCACCCACCACCACACCCAGCTAATTTTTGCATTTTTAGTAGACACAGGGTTTCACCATGTTGGTCAGGCTGGTCTCGAACTCCTGACCTTGTGATCTGCCAGCCTCAGCCTCCCAAAGTGCTGGAATTACAGGCATGAGCCACCACTCCCAGCCCTGGATTATCTTTCCTCTTTAGTGTGTTCTCACAACTACCTCTCACTGCTGGGTTTTCTCTCTTTCTTTTTTTTTTTTTTTTTTTTTTTTTTTGAGACAGTCCGGCTTTGTTGCCCAGGCTGGAGTGCAGTGGCGCGATCTCGGCTCACTGCAAGCTCCACCTCCCAGGTTCAAGCGATTCTCCCACCTCAGCCTCCCTAGTAGCTGGGATTACAGGCGCATGCCAGCACACCCAGCTAGTTTTTGTATTTTTAGTAGAGACAGGGGTTTCACCATGTTGGTCAGGCTGGTCTTGAACTCCTGACCTTGTGATCTTCCTGCCTCGGCCTCCCAAAGTGCTGGGATTACAGGTGTAAGCCACTGCACCCAGCCAGCTTTCTCATTCTTATCCCTTAGTTCTCTGCCAGGGAATAAGATAGAAACCATTCCCTCAACCACATTCTAGTCATGGTCCCTATTCTCATGTTTCCACTTCTCTCTCTTTGGTAATAAATCAATTAATTGAGAAACAAGTAGCTAAATGTTCATCTTCTGCTAGTCTGCATCCCCTTATTTTCCCAGAGCCTCCCCTAATGAAACTGACTTTATTTACTGAACGCAGGAAATGGGTCTCTCCAGATCAGGATGACTTTCTGCTGGGAAATATTTGTCTTTGCATCAGTGGGGAAAAAGAAAGCCGATGTCATGAGTGGAGGCTCTGAGAAAATAAGGGCTGTGTTTTCAGTTTAGACCCAGCTAAGTTGGGAGCTGACATAGATATGATGTTGGGTCCACCCTCCACGGGCAGGTTTTCAGACAAAGGATCCCTGGCAATCAGGGGACACCTCAGGTCTGGGCTGAGATGTGTGCAGAGGGCCTGGGTCCTCCTGAGCCCCTGCACTGGGGGGGGAATAAGAGACAGGCCCAGCAAGGGGCTGTCCACTTCCTGTGGGTTCACAGCTGTGGGGACCCAGGCAGGCGGCAGCAGGCTCTGACTTAACCACATCCGTGCATCTGTCTGTCATGGAGGGCCATGTGGTCACCTGTCCCACAGCTGGAGCACGCAGAGCAGGCATCATGGTGTCCATCCTCACTGTTCTTCTGTGCCTCAGTCAGTGGTGGAGAGACGAGGGACAGGAGGGGCACTGGGCTGAGGTGGGGAGGGTCCCACAGCAGCCTTGTTCACCAGAGAGCCTCAGGGCTCCAGTGGCTACTGGTGCTCCAACAGGAAGGGAAGCAGCCACACCTCTGTGTTCCAAATCCCCCACAGGAAACTCTTCTCCATGGCTGAGTCTGGGCCAGAAAGCCCAAGCACTTGCAGGTGAGTCTCTGCTAACCTCCCATGCCTGACCTCACACTCAGCACCTGGACTCTCATCTCAGGGGCTTCTGAACTGAGGGTGAGAAAATCAAGAGGGTCTGTGACCTGAGCTGGGAATGAGGAGCGGGGGAGGTCTGTGGACCCCAGCCTGTGGTTTCTTCCAGGGACCCTCCCCAAACCCAGCCTCTGGGCTGAGCCAGGCTCTGTGATTACCTGGGAGAGCCCCATGACCCTCTGGTGCCAGGGGACCCTGGATACCCAGGGTTACTATCTCACCAAGGAAGGAAACCCCATGACCTGGTACCAACAGAGCCCACCAGAGCCCAGGAACAAGACCAACTTCTTCATCCCATCCATGAGAGAGCACCATGCAGGGAGATACCACTGTCACTATCTCAGCCCTGCAGGCTGGTCAGAGCGCAGCGAGCCCCTGGAGCTGGTGGTGACAGGTAAGAGGACACTCAGGGGTCCCAGCCCCAGGCTCTGCCTGCAGGAAGGGGGTCAGCTCTCAAGGGCATCTCCGTTCTAATAACTCAGCCCTGGGGGATGATGTGGGACGCGTGAGCCCCATTTAAGACAGTGTCTCCTTCTCTCCTAGGAGCCCACAGAAAACCCACTCTCTCAGCCCTGCCGAGCCCTGTGGTGACCTCAGGAGAGAACGTGACCATCCAGTGTAGCTCAAGGGTGGGATTTCACAGGTTCATTTTGATTGAGGAAGGAGAAAACAAGCTCTCCTGGATGCTGGACTCACAGGAACTCTCCAAGGGGCTGTCCCTTGTCCCTGGCCCTGTTCCCTGTGGGCCGTGTGGCTGCCAGTCACCGGTGGATGTTCAGATGCTATGGGCATTACACGAACTTCCCCTGGGTGTGGTCGGAACCCAGTGATACCATGGAGATCCTGGTCTTAGGTATGGATGTCTTCCTCCTTGCCCTATTTATTTTTGAGAACTTACTCTCACGGAGCCCCATGTAGGAGGGTGGAACAAGGGAAGTTTGGGACTCCTGAGCCCAGAGACACTGAGTGTGAGAGACAGTGAGACCTGCAGGGCCAGGAGGGGAGAAGGAAGGGGTGTGGGAGGAACCAGCCCTCCTAGTCCCGACTCTTCTTTCCCTCCAGGCGTGTCTAGGAAGCCCTCCCTCCTGACCCTGCAGGGCCCTGTCGTGGCCCCTGGGGAGAATCTGACCCTCCAGTGTGGCTCTGATGTCGGCTATGACAAATTCACTCTGTACAAGGAGGGGGGACATGACCTCGTCCAGGGCTCTGGCCGGCAGCCCCAGGCTGGGCTCTCCCAGGCCAACTTCACCCTGGGCCCTGTGAGGGTCTCCCACGGGGGCCAGTACAGATGCTACGGTGCACACAACCTCTCCTCCGAGTGGTCGGCCCCCAGTGACCCCCTGAGCATCCTGATCGCAGGTGAGGAGCCCAGCAGGTTCAGTCAGGGACCCAGGCTCCGCACAGGCCCTGCTGGGGGAGCCCAGGTGGTGATGGCCGGGATGAGGGGTGGGGGTCCTAAGGGACGGAGAGACAGACAGAGACAGGGGATGGGCGGGGAGGGGGAGACTCAGAGAAAACAGAGACAGAGACACTGAGGGTCCCAGGGAGAGGCCTGGGGAGGTGTCAGCTCAGAACGAGGTGGGGCAGCCCCTCACCCATCCTTCTTCTCTCCAGGACAGATCCGTGGCAGACCCTCCCTCTCGGTGCAGCCGGGCCCCACGGTGGCCTCAGGAGAGAACGTGACCCTGCTGTGTCAGTCACGGGAGCAGTTGGACACTTTCCTTCTGACCAAGGAGGGGGCAGCCCATCACCCACTGCGTCTGAGATCAGAGCACCAAGCTCAGCAGCACCAGGCTGAATTCCCCATGAGTCCTGTGACCTCAGCCCACGCGGGGACCTACAGGTGCTACAGCTCACGCAGATTCTTCCCCTACCTGCTGTCTCACCCCAGTGACCCCCTGGAGCTCGTGGTCTCAGGTGAGGCCGCTGACCCTGTCCTCTCTGAGCTCAAACCTCAGCTCAGGCCCTGCCCCCAGGAGAGCTCAGGACGCTAAGGAAAGAGGGGAGTAAAGGGGGAGGGTCGGCAGGGGAGGGCCCAGCCCATGAGAGGGTGGAAATAGTCAGGGACCTCCTAATCCTGGGCTCCCACCCCAGAGACCTCAGATGGGGCTAAAGGCCAGGGAGGGCTGAAATGAGATATGGAGAAACCTTGGAGGAATCATGCTTAGGCTGAGGGTAGAAGATGGAGGCCCCACCCACTCCCCACCTGGGCTCCCCTGGCGGCCCCAAAATACTCAGTGCATACCTGAGACGAAGGGGAGATCATGCACCTGCTCACTGCAGCAATGCAGGCAAATTATTCAACAGCAAACCTCGTGTGCAATTCCTTTCTGTCCTTTATTTTTTATGTCCACATATCTAGTTTCTCTTTCTGTTTCTGAAGATTTCAAAGCAATGCTGGCATTTATAATTTACACATTTAATTTGTTAGGTAGCGTTATGATGTAAAATAACTGTGCTCTGATTTTCTTTGGGATTAAATTAAATATGTGCATTCATGATGGAGAATAACTTCTCATTAATAATGTCTTTGTATCCAATACATTTAAAATTAAACTTTATACAGTTAGCAGATGCTTGAAGTTGTATTCATAAAAATTGTGGACATTGTGAATTTTAAGCATTGTTTTACTACTTGAATAATTTGAAAGTCTTTGATTCCTTTCTATTTTCTAAAATTAGTTACGTATGGATGAGAAAGCTATTGGTTTGGGTATGCTAATTTTAGTTCCTATTAACTTACCACAGACACACTCCCTTTCAATCCTTTCCGAAATGATCTCTTCTGATTTATTGATAATAATTACATTAACCACAAGAAAATGGAGGACAAACTTGTTTGTTTCTAAATTATATAATACTCTTCTCACTTCAAATATATATGTATGTGTTTATATATACTCACACACTATTATATATCTTATAATATATATTATGTATTATATATTTATATATACACTATTATATATCTTATATATTATGTATTATATATTTATATATACCCACACATTATTATATCTTATAATATATATTATGTATTATATATTTATATATACCCACACATTATTATATCTTATAATATATATTATGTATTATATATTTATATATGCACTATTATATATCTTATATATTATGTATTATATATTTATATTACCCACACATTATTATATCTTATAATATATATTATGTATTATATATTTATATATACACACACTATTATATATCTTATTATATATTATGTATTATATATTTATATATACTATTATATATCTTATAATATATAATGTATTATATATTTATATATACACACACTATTATATATCTTATATATTATGTATTATATATTTATATATACATACTATTATATATCTTATAATATATTATGTATTATATATTTATATATATACACTATTATATATCTTATTATATATTATATATTTATATATGCACACACTATTACATATCTTATTATATATTTATATGTATACACACACTATTATATATCTTATTATATATTATGTACTATATATTTATATATACTATTATATATCTTATAATATATAATGTATTATATATTTATATATACACACACTATTATATATCTTATATATTATGTATTATATATTTATATATACATACTATTATATATCTTATAATATATTATGTATTATATATTTATATATATACACTATTATATATCTTATTATATATTATATATTTATATATGCACACACTATTACATATCTTATTATATATTTATATGTATACACACACTATTATATATCTTATTATATATTATGTACTATATATTTATATATACTATTATATATCTTATAATATATAATGTATTATATATTTATATATACACACACTATTATATATCTTATATATTATGTATTATATATTTATATATACATACTATTATATATCTTATAATATATTATGTATTATATATTTATATATACACACTATTATATATCTTATTATATATTATATATTTATATATGCACACACTATTACATATCTTATTATATATTTATATGTATACACACACTATTATATATCTTATATATTATATATTTATATATACTCACACTATATCTTATAATACATATTATGCATACACATATGCATAATACATATTATCTATACACATATGCATAATACATATTATGTATACACATATGCATAACACATATTATGTATACACACATATTTACACCTATGCATATATGTATGTATGTATGCGAATGTACCTCTGCCACGGCAGGGAAAGGTTCTATCACACAACTACAGAGCAGTTAGGAGAAGTGTAGACACAAAGGAATGCAGCAACTGAGGGACATGTTGGCTTAAGTCTCTTCAACTCCTCACACACCTCCCCCTTTTTTGGTTGATTCTCAGGAGCAGCTGAGACCCTCAGCCCATCGCAAAACAAGACAGACTCCAAGACTGGTGTGTAAGGAGATGCTCTCGGTTATGGGGCTGGCACAGAGGGTCAGGTCCTGTGAAGGGGAGGTGGGTGCCCTGGGTGGACATCCAGGGGTCCCGGGTGATGTTGATCTGCCCTGACCTCTGAGACCTCTTGGTCCACCATCCCCAGCCTCACACCCCCAGGATTACACAGTGGAGAATCTCATCCGCGTGGCTGTGGCTGGCTTGGTCCTGGTGGTCCTCGGGATTCTGCTGCTTTAGGACTGGCACAGCTAGAGAAGTCCCCAAGATGCAGCAAGGAGGTAAATACATGAGAGAACAATGCACCCTTCAGAGTGCCAGAGCCTTGGCAATGAATCTGATAGTCCTAGGAGGTTCTGGAAGAAAGTCTGGACCATCATTCGGGAAACCGTCTACTGAGAAAGTCGAGAAGGGGAGGCTTGGGTCAGGTTCAGGAAGATGTCTGGGTGCCTGTAGAGAACGCTTCCTCCATTAAACTTCCATTAAATGGCAGTGCTTTCAGTCCTGCTGTTGTGGATCCTCCGTGTCTGCCCCTCCCTTCCTTTCGCTCTCTGTGATGTGAAGGCACGTCCCCCATGGTGGGTTTGCATCCACACCCCTGCGATCACGTGCTCTGGTCCACTGTCATGTAATACATTTGTCTTTGTTTCCAACTACCGCATTCTCTAAAGTGAACTATTGATTCTCCATCTTTTCAGTTCTGAGCATAGATCTGGATTAAATAACTGGAATAGGTGGGCAGATTTGTATTTGGGACTTTGAAACATGAGTCTGAGGCCAGGCACAGTGGCTCACACCTGTAATCCCAGCACTTTGGGAGGCTGAGGTGGGCGGATCACTTGAGGTCAGAAGTTCGAGACCAACCTGGCCAACATGGTGAAACCCTGTCTCTACTAAAAGATACAAAAATTAGCTGGGTGTGGCAGTGAGCACCTGTAATCCCAGCTGCTCAGGAAGCTGAGGCGGGAGAATAGCTTGAACCCGGGAGGCGGAGGTTGCAGTGAGCCAAGATCTTGCCACTGCACTCCAGCCTGGGCAACAGAGCAAGACTCCATCTCCAAAAAAAAAAAAAAAAAGGGAAATATGAGTCTGAAATGATGCCCTAGCACCCTCTCTGGACCCTGAATTCCCTTCACTCTTCATCGGATGATACCTGTGTACTTTGTCCAGAAATATCATCTCTCAGAATGAGCACACTAACGCTCGAAGGCTCAGCCTCATGGTATTCTGTTAAACTGGCTCTCTGAAAAAATTATTTTCTTAAGAAAACTCTGAACATATAAAGCCCCAGATTTATGGTATTTGCTGATTAGTGTGGTATAAATACGTCCTTTATGGCCAACTTCAGGGTGCCCATATGACGCCATTGAATGCACAGTTGGGAAGTAGTCAAAAGAATTGTCGTTCACACGAGTATGAACCAGTTGTAAAGTTTATTTAAAGGTTATAATAATTTCTGCTTCATTCTTATGGTGTAGTTTCAGTAAAATTGTAATGTCAAAAATCATAGCACAATGGAGGGAAAAGAAAAAAATAGGCCGGGTGTGGTGGCTCATGCCTGTAATCCCAACACTTTGGGAGGCCGAGGCAGGAGGATCACCTGAGGTCAGGAGTTCGAGACCAGCCTGGCCAACATGGTGAAACGCTGTCTCTACTAAAAATACAAAAATTAGCCAGACATGGTGGCGCCTGCCTGTAATCCCAGCTACTTGGGAGGCCAAGGCACGAGAATCGCATGAACCCAGGAGGCGGAGGTTGCAGTGAGCCGAGATCACTACAGCCTGGGTGATAGAGCAAGACTCAGTCTCAAGAAAAGAAAAAAGTAGCAAAATCATTTTTTGGAAAGAATATTGAACATGTAGAATTTTAGTACATTAATAGTAAGAGTACAAATTGCTTTAATCAATTAAGGAAGTGTATTGGAATTATCTAGTTAAAAAGAGGAGGCACATGGCTGTGACCCTTCTTAATTATGTACTTAATTATGTACCCTAGAGATAAATGTCTACTTATGTGTCATGATACACTCACAACTGTTATAGGAATGCTGTTCCTATTAGCCAAAGCTATAAAATACCAAAGTCCACCTACGAAAAAAATAAACATAGTGTGGTAAATAGACTCAGTGGAATATTACAAGGTAGTAAAATGCATAAATGAAAATAACAAACAGCACCATACTTCAATTTTCAAGCATAAAGTCAAGTAAATGAAGTATTATTTGAAAATGTGTGCATGGTTATTTCATTACATAAAGGTCAAAAGGAGGGTACATTTATTATTTAGGAAAACACACCTAAGATATCTTTGTAAAATCTGTAAAATCAATAGTACTGTTTCCCCTCTTTCATTCCTTATCTTGAAAATGCTTGTCTCTTTTTCTGCCATGGCTTTCTACCTTGCTTGATATATTACAATTTTGTAACCTGCTTATTTCATCATATGTCATAAGTTCACATGTATATCCCATGAATTATTGAGGGTCTTATTCATTTCAAGTGGCATTTAGGTTTTTAAAAATATCTTTTGGCGACCAGGTGCAGTGGCTCATGCCTGTAATCCCAGCACTTTGGGAAGCCAAGGCAGGTGGATCACGAGTTCAAGAGACAGAGATCATCCTGGCGAACATGGTGAAACCCCGTCTCTACTAAAAATACAAAAAAAAAAAAAAAAATAGCTGGGCATGGTAGAGGGTGCCTGTAGTCCCAGCTTCTCAGGAGGCTGAGGCGGGAGAATGGCATGAACCCGAGAGACGGAGGTTGCAGTGAGCCGAGATCGTGCCACTGCACTCCAGCCTGGCAACAGAGTGAGACTCTGTCTCAAAAAAAAAAAAAAAAGAAAGAAAGAAAGGAAGAAAAAAAAATCTTCTGGCATTAACTATTAAGAAATTGCACTATAAAAAGAGAATATAATGCATAAGACGGCAATTTGAAAAGATTCAGATATAATTTTTTCTTATCTAGTAAATACTTAGTAATTTGTCTAATGCATGCCTTAAATACATACCACTTTATGCAGAGGTTGCCATGAGCCGAGATCGCGCCGTTGCACTCTAGCCTGGGTGGCAGAGCAAGACTCCATCTCAAAAAAAAAAAAGAAAATCTCACAGAAGGAGACCCAGAGCTTCCAGCCTCGCCCAGAGTCTTGGCTCACTCCCTGTGTGTGTGGACCCTAGGGAGCCTCTTCTGTTCCCCACAGAGGTGGAAACTTCCTCCTTAATAACCCCTTGATGGTCCCAGGCACTGGTGACCACTGAGCTTTGCTCTCTCTTTTTTCTTATGGTTCCCTGTCTACTTCCAGGGCTATCACTTTACTTTTTGTGCATTAGACCATGAATAATGTTTTAGAAACATTCTATCAAATTTCTCAGTGCTAGGAACAACTGAGGTTTTTGATTGGGTGCCTCAAATGTCTACCCTTACTGTGGAGTCCGACAACAGGATTCTAACAAGTCCCAACCCCTTCATGCCTTAACCTGGTCTGGAAATAAATTATGTTTAAGCCATCCCATACCCCAGCCACATCAAGCCCCACAACCACTCTGAGAAGTGAGATTTATAGCAAAATGCTCCAAACAAGGTAACTAAGGTTCAGACAAGGGATGTTAATGTGTCCATTTACATAAACAAAAAATGGTAGATGATCAGCTTTCCCTTTGAAATCAGAGTACTAATCTGACTCATTGTTCCCTGAATTTTAGAGGCAGGACCTCAGGAGGAGCTAAGAATCCTACCCCAGGAAAATTACCAATATCAGAAAGGAAACAATGACATCAGTACAGATCCTACAGAATTCAAAAGATTCTAAGTGGACATTATGAAGACATTATTCAGCTTAGATGAAGTGGTCACATATCACAAGAAAACAAACTGTCTAAAACAATCTCTGAAATACCTAGACATTCCCTGAATCATTGAGTTATTAAATAAAATACATTTTAAAATTAAACTCTTTTCAGGAAATAAACTTCAATGTCCCCTAGTGCACTCTCCAAAACATGTAGATGGGAATAAATACTGTTCTGAAAGACATTTCCCTGGAATTACAACCATTCAATATATTTTAAAAGGCAATCATAAAAATATAAAAAGGATATATCAGGAGAAGAAATGTAAATGGCCTAAATTCCCCACATAAAAGGCATAGAGTGGCAACGTGGATAAAAAGCCAAGAGCCAACTGCCTGCTGTCTTCAAGAGACCCATCTCACATGTAATGACACCCACAGGCTCAAAGTAAAAGGATGAAGAAATATTTACTAGGCAACCAGGAAACAAAAAAAAGGAAGGCATTCCTATTCTTATATCACATGAAACACACTTTAAATCAACAGCAATCAGGAAGGACAAAGAAGGGCATTACAAAATGATAAAGGGTTCAATTTGACAGAAGACTTAACTATTCTAAATATATATGCACCCAAATTTGGAGCACCCCGATTCATAAAACAAGTTATTCTTCACCTATGAAAAGAGTTAGACAGCCACACAATAATAGTAAGGGACTTCAGTATCCCACTAACAACGTCAGATGAATCACTAAAACAGAAAACTAACAAAGAAATTCTGGTCTTAAAGACAACACTTGACCAATTGGACCTCATAGACATCTACAGAGTACTCCACCCAACAACTGCAGAATATAGATTCTTCTTATCTGCACACACAAAAAACATATCATATTCTAAGACTGGCCACAAAGCAAGTCTCAATAAATTCAAAGAATCAAAATCATAACAAGGCACACAATAAAAATAGAAAAAAATACCAAGATGATCTCTCAAAACTACAGAAAAACATGGAAATTTAACAACTTGTTTCTGAATGAATATTAAGAGCCATCTATGACAAATCCACAGCCAACATCATATTGAATGGTCAAAAGCTGGAACTGTACCCCTTGAGAACTCTTGGGTGAACAATGAAATTAAAGCAGAAATCACAAAACATTATTTAAAATTAATAAAAATAGAAACAAACTTACCAAAACCTTTGGGATGCAGTTAAAGCAGTGATAAGAGGAAAATTTATAGCAATACATGCCTCATCAGAAGTTTAGAAAGATCTCAAATTAGTGACTTAACACTGCATCTAGAGGAACTATTAAAAAAAAGGAACAGTCCAAACCCAAGGCCAGCAAAAGATGAGAAATAACTAAAGTCAGAGAGAACTGAATAAATTGAGACCAAAAAGTCCATACAAGAGATAAATAAAACCAAGAGTTTTTCTTTGAAAAAAAATAAACAAAATTCATAGACTGTTAGCTAGATTAACAAAGAAAAAGAGAAAAGATCCAAATAAACACAAATAGAACTGACAAAACAATGTTACGAACAATCCCACAGAAATAGAAAAGATCGTCAAAGACTATTATGAACACCTCTATACAAACAAGCTAGAAAACCTAGAAGAAATGGATAAATTCCTGGTAACACAAAATTTATCATATTTCAACCAGGAAGAAAGTGAAAACCTGAACAGACCAATAACAAGTTCAGAAATTTAATCAGTAATAAAAACCCTACTAACTAAAAATAGCCCAGGACCAGATGGATTCACAGCCAAAATCCAACAGCCATACAAAGAAGAACTGATACCGATCTTACTGAAACTTTTGGAAAAAATCAAGGAGTGGGGGCTTCTTCCTAACTCATTCTATGAAGCCATCATCACCATGATACCAACATCTGTCAGAGACATAATGAAAAAAAGAAAACTACAACTAAATATCCTTAATGAACATAGACATAAAATCCTCAACAAAATGCTAGCAAATTGAATCTGTCAGTGCATCAAAAGTTAATTCACATGATCAAGTAAGCTTTATTTTTGGGATGCAAGGTTGGTTCAACCTACAAAGTCAACGAATGTGATTCACCTCATAAACATAATTAAAAACAAAAACTATATGATCATCTCAATAGATGCAGAAAAAGCTTTCTGTAAAATCCAACATCCCTTCATGATAAAAACTGTCAATAGGCATCAAAGGAACATACCTCAAAATATTAAGAGCCATCTATGACAAACCCACAGCCAACATCATATTGATGGGCAAAAGCTGGAACCATACCCCTTGAGAACCGAAACAAGACCAGGATGACCACTCCCGCCATTTTAATTCAACATGGTACTGGAAGTCCTAGCCAAAGCAATCAGGCAAGAGAAGGAAATAAAAGGCATTAAAATTGGAAAAGAAGTAGTGATACTGTCTCTCTTTGCTGATGAAATAATTTTATACATAGAAAACCCTAAAGACTCTGTCAGAAGGCTCCTGAAACTGATAAACAAATTCAATAAAGTTTCGGGATTAAAAAAATGTACACAAATTAGTAACATTTCTATGCACCACTAACATTCTAGCTGAGAACTAAATCAAGAACACAATTCCATTTACACTAGCCACAAAGAAAATAAAATACCTAGGAATCCATCTAACCAAGAAGGTGAAAATTCTCTACAAGGAGAACTACAAAACACTTCTGAAAGAAATAAGAAATGATACAAACAAATGGAAGAATATTCCATGCTCATGAATTAGGAGAACAAATAGTTAAAATCGCCATACTTCCAAAAACAAATTGCAGACTCAATGCTATCCATTTCAAAATGCAATGTCATTTTTCACGAAATTATAAAAATTTATTCTAAAATGTATTTGGCACCAAAAAAAGAGCCTGAATACACATAGGAATCCTAAGCACAAAGAACAAAGCCCAGGCATCACATTACCCAACTTCAAACTATACTACAATGCTATAGTAACCCAAACAGCATGATACTACTACAAAAACAGACACATAGACCAATGAGACAGAATAGAGAACCCAGAAATGAGGCTACATACCTACAATCATCTTTGAAAAAATTGACAAAAACAAGCAATGTGGAAAGTACCCTTTCTTCAATAAATAGTTCTGGGATAACTGACTACTCATATGCAAAATAATAGAACTGGACCCCTAACTCTCACTATATACAAAAATTAACCCAAGATAGTTTAAAGATTTAAATGTAAAACCTCAAAATATTAAAATTCTAGAAGAAAACCTAGGAAATATCCTTCTCAAGATAGACTTTGGCAAAGAATTTATGGCTAACTCCCCAAAACCAATTGTGACAAAGACAGAAATTGGGACCTAACTCAACTGAAGAGCTTCTGCACAGCAAACGAAAGTATCAACAGAGTAAACAGATAACCTACAGACTGGGAGAAAATATTTGCAAACTATGCATCTGACAAAGTTCTAATATCCAGAATCTATAAGGAATGTAAACAAATCAACAAGCAGAAAACCAAAAAACCTCAATTAAGTATGACATGAACAGACACTTCTCAAAAGAAGATGTACACATGGCCAAAAAACATATGAACAAATGCTTATTATCAGTAATCATCAGAGAAATGCAAATTAAAACCACAGTGAGATACCATCTCACAACAATCAGAGAAGCAGAAGCAATTACTAAAAAGTTTTTTGTTTTTTTTAATAACAGATGCTGACAAGATTGTGGAGAAAAGGGAACACTTATACACTCTTGGTGGGAATGTTAACTAGTTCAGCCAATGTGATAAGCAGTTTGGAGACTTCTCAAATAACTTAAAATAGAACTACTATTCAATCAAGCAATCCCACTACTGGGTATATACCAAAAGGAAGGTAATTAACTATGTCAAAAAGACACATGCACTAGTATATTCATTGCTGTGCAATTCAGAATAGCAAAGATTTGCAGTCAACCTAAGTGCTCACCAACAGTGGATTAGTTAAAGAAAATGTGCTACATATACACATGGAACATTACATGGCCATAAAAAATAATGAAATCATGTCCTTTGCAGCAACATGAATGTAGCAGGAGGTCAATCTCCTAAGTGAACTAACCCAGGAACAGAAAACCAAATACCACATGTTATCACTTATAACTGAGAACCAAACATTGAATACACATGAACATAAAGATGGAAACAACAGATACCGAGGACTACAGATGGGGGGAGGAGTAGGGAGGTATAGGCTGAAGAAACACCTGTTGGATTCTATGCTCATTGCCTGGGTGATGGCATTGTTGGAACCACAAACCTCAGAGTCACACAATATGCCTATGTAACAAACCTGCATGCATACCTTTAATCTACAGTAAAGGTTGAAGTTATTTAAAAATAGGAAGAAGAATTACCCTATACCTAAAGCTAAGATTTTTCCCTTTGAATATTCGTTTCTTCATCACTGTAGATAAGCAGGGAAAGAAAAATTATTATACTATACTAGCCTTTTATGTGACCATGAGGATTTGGGGTAGGTAGGTGGACAGCTTAGATAATTCACCAGGATATTGATACAGGCTCCATGGCTGGAAATAACCAAGGATGAGTGCTGTGTTTTGAGTGGTCTCCCCCAGAAACGTTTGTTGAAATCCTAACCCCTGGTATGTATGAATGTGAATTCATATTATATAAAAAGGAATAAATAGCCTGAGCACAGTGGCTCACACCTGTAATCCCAGCACTTTGGGAGGCCAAAGCAGGTGGATCATTTGAGGTCAGGAGTTCTGGCCAATATGGCAAAACTTCATCTCTACAAAAAAAAAATACAAAAAAAAAAATTGGCTGGGTATGGTGGCGCATGCCTGTAGTCCCAGCTACTCAGGAGGCTGAGGCAGGAATTGC
The DNA here is from genome assembly GCF_000001405.40 of Homo sapiens. NCBI lineage: Eukaryota > Metazoa > Chordata > Mammalia > Primates > Hominidae > Homo > Homo sapiens. Next base: position 23,241 of record NW_016107304.1, read on the forward strand.
TGAAACCTGGAAGGCAGAGGTTGCAGTGAGCCAAGATCATGCCACTGCACTCCAGCCTGGGTGAGACGGCAAGATATTCTGTCAAAAATAAATAAATAAAAAACAGAAGAAGAAATACAAGAATGACAGCAAACTTTGTATTCAAAACTATGAAAGTAAGAAATAGGTGGACCAACATTTTTAAAGTGCTACAAGAAAATATTTCAAACTAGAATCTTTCAACCTGAAAAGGAAAACATTTTCCTGCAATAAAGGTGCCATTAAAAATGTCTCACAATTTATTACATGAAGCATTGTTCTACAATAAATGTTAAGCTCTTGAAGCAAAGATTAATGATACCATTTAGTAACTTGAAATTCAAAAAAGTGGAAGTATCCCAAGAGGCAAATACGTGTGCAATTATTAAATGTTTCATATCAACACCCAACCTTATGCTGTCTACATAAGCTGCACTTCAAATACTAATCCACAAGATGTAAATATTGAAAGAATGACATTACATTGTCATGATAATGCCCAGTGCAAAATATGCTTCTAGTCAGTTGTATACATAGAATAGGTAAATGTTTGTAATAAAAAGTATTCCTCAATAGAAGTTTCTTAACTCAAAGAATGAAATATTTCACCATGCACATACAAAGAAGAGATATATGGAGATATGAAGAGGAGTACTTCATAATGACAAAGAGGCAAATTCATAAATAAGACATAATAATCCTAAATGCCTACACACCTAAAGCTGGAACCTCAAAACACATTAAATTAAAGGCATAATTCAAAACATAATCAATCACATCCAAATTGCAGCTAGAGATAGCAACATTCACCTCACTTCCAGAACAAGTACACAGAAAATTATTAAGCATATGAAAGACTTGAAAAACATTTGTGTAGGCGGCGGGTGCATAAGGTTGGGTGTTGATATGAAACATTTAATAATTTCAATAATCCTAGCACTTTGGGAGGCCAAAATGGGAGGATCACTTGAGGCCAGGAGTTTGAGACCAGCCTGGGCACCATAGTGAGACCCCGTCTCTATTTTTTTTAAATAAAGAAAAACATTTGAATGATTTTTTTCTTAACTGACATTTAGAAAACATCCACCTCAAATCTTCCTAATCCACAAACTTGTCTAGCACCCCTGGAACATTCACCAAAATAAATTTTTAAATGCTGAATCATAGGTAATATGATAGATGAAACAGTTGAATTAAATTATAAATGTACAACAAGGAAATGCTGGGGAAATTATCAAATATTTTAAAATTAATAAACACACATAGCAATAAACAATGAGTGGAAGAAAAACATTTCAAAGAAAGGTGGAAAATATTTTGTATCAATTAAAAATGAAAACACATCTCGGCAAATGACTGGGGATACAGATAGAACAGTGTTAAAGGAAAATAAGCCTCAAATGTCTGTGTTAGAAAAGAAGGAAGAGCTGAGTAAATAGGTAACTTTCGCTTGCAGAAATACTACACATCAGCAAATTAATTCCAAAGTAACGTCGAGGAAAAACATAAAATGGCAAGCAAATATATACGTGCATATGTACGTATATTCATAAATGACAAACAGGACAGAAAAATCAGTGACATCAATTTTGTTCCTTAGAAGAAACAGGAAAATTGACCCCAAAAAACTTTCCAGGCCACATTTGGTCATGATGGAAATATTTTGGCACTTCCTGGTTAAGCTCAACACCAACTTGCACCCAAAACCAATAATTTCATTCCTAGGTAAATATGTCTAATTAATTCAGCATATGTATGCAAGGGATCACACAGAAACACGATTATCAAGGCCCGAGTTATAAAAGAGAAAATCCGGAAACAACACAAATGTCCATGATAAAAAGAGTGGATAATTACATGTTGATAAAGTTATGTATGGACTATTAAACTGCAATCCAAAAGAATAAAATAGAACTATAAAATTCAATATGTATATGGTGTCATAGAAACACAAATGTGAGAAAAAGAAAGAAAAATACAAAATTTATATTTTTTAAAATTTGAAACAACTATATATGTGAGTGCTTAGGGTGTGTGTGTGTGTGTGTGTGTATAACCATATGTATATAAACGCACACATACGCACACATATAGAATGTCCCGGCCAGGCATGGTGGCTCACACCTGTAATCTCAGCACTTTGGGAGGCTGAAGTAGACAGATCACTTGAGGTTAGGAGTTCAAGACCAGCCTGGCCAACATGGAGAAACCTCCTCTCTACTAAAAGTACAAAAATTAGGTGGGCGTGATGGTGGGTGCCTGTAAATCCAGCTACTTAGGAGGCTGAGGCACGAGAATTGCGTGAACCTGGGAGGTGGAGGCTGCAATGAGCCGAGGTCTCACCACTGCATTCCAAACTGGGTGACGAAGTGAGATTGCGTCTCAAAAAAAAAAAAAGTTCTAAAAGTTGTGACTTGGGTGTGGCAGATTGTGACATACTGCCAGCTGCTAGAAATGCTGGGGCAGGAGGATTGCTTGAACTCTGAAGTCAAAGAACAGCCTGGGGAAAATAGCACATGAAGAAGAGTTTGAATCTCAGATAAAAACAACAAAAATACATCAAAAGTCTTTAATGTAAGCCAAGCATTCAGTCATCTCCTGTATGAGAGATTGGATCTGAGACGTGTTTTGAGTTGGTTATAGTGAAGGATGCAAGGTGTCAATTCTAGTTGGAACAATTTCCAGGAAGCCATGTTCCGCTCTTGACCAAACAGCCACTGGGCCTCATGCAAGGTAGAAATAGCCTGCATACGTCATCCTCCCATGATGTGGTCAGCATGTAAACTGCATGAGCCCCTCACAACATCCTGTGTGCTGCTGAACTGAGCTGGGGCGCAGCCGCCTGTCTGCACCGGCAGCACCATGTCGCTCATGGTCGTCAGCATGGCGTGTGTTGGTGAGTCCTGGAAGGGAATCGAGGGAGGGAGCGCTGGGGTGGAGATCTGGGCCTGGAGTGGAGATCTGGGCCTGGAGTGGAGATATGGGCCTGGAGTGGAGATATAGGCCTGGAGTGGAGATATGGGCCTGGGGTGGAGATATGGGCCTGGAGTGGAGATATGGGCCTGGAACTGTAGATATGGGCCTGAAGTAGAGATATGGGCCTGGAGTAGAGATATGGGCCTGGAACTGTAGATATGGGCCTGGAGTGGAGATATTGGCTTGGAGTGCAGATATGGACCTGGAATTGAGATACGGGCCTGGAGGTGGAGATATGGGCCTAGAGTGGAGATATGGGCCTGGAGGTGGAGATATGGGCCTGGAACTGTAGATATGGGCCTGGAGTAGAGATACGGGCCTGGAGTGGAGATGTTGGCTTGGAGTGCAGATATGGGCCTGGAATGGAGACACGGGCCTGGAGGTGGAGATACAGGCCTGGAGGTGGAGATATGGGCCTGGAGTGTAGATATGGGCCTGGAGTAGAGATATAGGACGGAGGTGGAGATATAGGCCTGGAGTGGAGATATGGGCCTGGAGTAGAGATATAGGACGGAGGTGGAGATATAGGCCTGGAGTGGAGATATGGGCCTAGAGGTGGAGATATGGGCCTGGAGTGGAGATATGGGCCTGGAGGTGATGTACAGATGGATCATCCATCATGATCTTTCTTTCCAGGGTTCTTCTTGCTGGAGGGGCCCTGGCCACATGTGGGTGAGTCCTTCCCCCAAACCTTAGGTTGTCATCTCCCCACATAAGATGATGCTCCTGAAACGGGAGGCAGGCGACACAGGGGGTTGACTGATGGGCTGACCATGGGAAGCCATGTGGGAATCTCTCATGAACTAGGAAAAGGAAGCCAGGGGAAGCTTCGCCACAGTTCTGTCCTAGCCCTCCCCGGCCTTTCTTTCCCTTGGCTGAGTCTGTGGGGACCCAGGGGGAGACTGAAGTGCTCAAAGGAGTGGTGTGCAGGGAGGAAGTGGTGTCACCGGCAGAGGAAGGGAGAGAAGCAGTGCAAGGAACAACAGGCCTCTGAGGACAAGAGCATAACTCACACCCTCCAGCGTTTCCATGACGGTAGGGGCTGCAATGTGGCTGCTGTCATTCTACCTAAGAGGTGGGGGAACCACAGTCATGACCCTGACATTCCAGATCTTCTAATAGGGGCTCAGTTGTTTATTATGGTTCATGCATTAGCTGATCATGCCCTCCATCCTGTGTCTACCTTGTGTTCTTTTATGTAAGTAATTTTGCAGTGTTAAAATCTAGTAAGAGTCGCTTCTTCAGCACCTGCTCAAAGTTCTCAGCTGACACTTGCTGTAGGGAGACGCCATGTCTATGCGGGATGGGTCCTTCCTGTAGCCCTGGGCACCCAGGTGTGGTAGGAGCCTTAGAAACGTGGAAATGGGAGAATCTTCTGAGCACAGGGAGGGAGGGGCGGCTCCACATCCTCCTCTCTAAGGTGGTGCCTCCTTCTCCCCCAGGTGGTCAGGACAAGCCCTTCCTCTCTGCCTGGCCCGGCACTGTGGTGTCTGAAGGACAACATGTGACTCTTCAGTGTCGCTCTCGTCTTGGGTTTAATGAATTCAGTCTGTCCAAAGAAGACGGGATGCCTGTCCCTGAGCTCTACAACAGAATATTCCGGAACAGCTTTCTCATGGGCCCTGTGACCCCAGCACATGCAGGGACCTACAGATGTTGCAGTTCACACCCACACTCCCCCACTGGGTGGTCGGCACCCAGCAACCCTGTGGTGATCATGGTCACAGGTCAGAGGCTTTCTGTCTGGGCTTCTCACTGTCCCACCTCCTGAATCCCAGAGCTTCTGGTGGGGGCGTCCATCAGGGTCCAATCATCCAGGCCCCGACTGTATTTGGGGTAAAGGGGGATTCAGTACAGAGAAATAGTTGCTGTGGTGGGAAGAATAATTGTCCCCAGTGATGGCTACATGGTAATCCATGAACCCTGTGACTATTTATGTTATAGGGCAGGGGACTGAAGAGGAAGATGGAGCTCAGGTTGTTGATGAGTTGACCTTGCGATGGGGAGACAGCCTGGACTGTCCTGCTGTGCTCAGAGTAATCACAAGGGTCCTCATGAGAGGAGGAGGAAGAGGAAAGTGGGGTTAGAGCAACGTCGTGGGAGGGAGACTCCATCAGCCACAGCGGGCTTTGAAGATGGGGGAAGGCCATGAGCCACAAAGGCAGGTGGCCTCTAAGGGCTGGAGAAGTCAAGGGAACTGATTCTTCCCTGAGTCTCCAGAGGAAACACAGCCCTGCAGATGCCTTGATTTTAGCCCAGAGAGAACTGGGTCCGATTTCTGTTCTCCAGAAGTGGAAGAGGTCATTGTATTCTCTCCTGCCCCATGTTTGTGACAATTTTCTCCAGCAGCAACAGGAAACCAACACAGGAACCCAGGTGAAGCACAGGTTAAGAAACCAAACAAGGAGAAGGTTGGCTACACTGATTTTAGCATGGGTGGGATACTGATGCTACCACCAGGCTCGATCCACATAGGGAGGGGTTGATGCTCCTGGAACCAGCACCAGGGGCCACCCTATGGAAGCTGGGGCCATGGAGAAGGCACAGACATGAAAGGAGAGGCTCCCAATCCCCATCAGGAACAGGGACACTGATGCCTGCCTTACTGATGAGTTCGTACCTCCTGCCGGCCTTTCCAATCTGTCCAAAAGAGATTGATTCAGGCTGCTAAGAGCCTGGACATGCAGCCTGTCATGGTTCCTCTTCCACCCCCACATAAACACCAGGAAAGAGATTAGTGGGAAACAGATACAACAGCCTAAGAGGTGACACTGAGCACAGTGGGAAGGGAATCAGGGCTACTAGAGACAGAGAGACAGGGAAGAGGGAGGGAGACAGATGGAGGGACCTGCAACAGGGGTTATGGGCACAAAAGAACACGGAGACACAGACAGGAAGGAGAGAGATAGACACCATGGAGGGGAAGCCTCACTTATTTCAGGTCCCATGAATGGGATGAGAAAGGGAGACGCCTTCTGAACTCACAACCTCTCTTCTTAGGAGTCCACAGAAAACCTTCCCTCCTGGCCCACCCAGGTCCCCTGGTGAAATCAGGAGAGACGGTCATCCTGCAATGTTGGTCAGATGTCAGGTTTGAGCGCTTCCTTCTGCACAGAGAGGGGATCACTGAGGACCCCTTGCGCCTCGTTGGACAGCTCCACGATGCGGGTTCCCAGGTCAACTATTCCATGGGTCCCATGACACCTGCCCTTGCAGGGACCTACAGATGCTTTGGTTCTGTCACTCACTTACCCTATGAGTTGTCGGCTCCCAGTGACCCTCTGGACATCGTGGTCGTAGGTGAGAGAATACAGACCTGCCTCTCACCCTTGCTGGGAGATGGAGTGAATGATCTAGGACTGGAAGCCCCAGGTGGTCATGAGGAAGATGAGTGTGGGGTTCCTATGGAGAGAAAGTGACTTGGTGAGGTCTGTACCAACAAAGGCAGAGAAACAGGAGACACAAGTACAGACCTCATGTCATAACATAGAAGCCAGACACAGGGGCCATACAAGGTGTTAGAAAAAGAGATAAAGAGGTAAAGAAGACACAGAGAGACAGACATATCCCAGAGAGAGGTGTCCTTCTATGCTGACTTTGTTCAGAGACCAGGCACAGGTTAGAAGGTTCCATTCTGTTTTACCTCTACAAAGTGTTCTCTCCCAGGAGAACCCAAAGAGACACATCTATCTGGCCTGAGTTGGGCCATGTGGCCCCAGGCTGGTGGCACCTACAGATGTTGTGTTTATTCTTAAACCTCTGCCTTCCGTGCAGTGGAGCTGTCATCGTCCCAGGACACCATGGCCCCAGGTGAGGGAGCAGAACACCAACCCCTGTATGCTGTGAGTTCCTGGAGTCCCCATACTGGATTCTGAGGCTCATATTCAAATAGCACCACATGTTATAGGATTACTGAGAACAAAAGCCCACAGAGAGACACGGAGTGAAATCAGGGAAATCAAAAAGCAAAGACATGAACACACACACAGAATGAGCCAGAAGAAGGGAATTGAGAGACTCACAGACACATAAAGAGATAGAAAAAGAGGGCAGAGAAGTGGAGCGTATGATGGAAGGAAGCAGAGAAAAGCCCTAAAATCAGAGCCCTGAGGGAGGGGCACAAAGACAGGGAAAGATAAAGATGTGAGGATGGATTGCAGAGACTCCAAAAGGGAACTAGAGAGACTGAGAGGCAGAGAAAGACAAGGAGATGGAGAGAGACAGATGATAGATGGACAGATAGATATAGATAGATGAAAGATAAAAGGTAGATGATAGATAATAGAGAGACAGGTGATAGACAAATAGATGATGAATGACTGATAGATGATATAGATAGACAAGTAGAAAGACAGACAGATGATATATAAATAGATATAGAGAGATAGAAAGACAGATAAACACATGATGATAGATGGATAGATGCATACATACATACATTGATTGATAGATGATAGATAACAGAGAGATAGGTCATAGATACACAGATGATGATAGATGATAGATACATACATAGATAAATGATAGATCGATCAATAGATAATAGATAGAAATATGCAGAAAGTTATGAGCAAGACAGAAAGTGAGAGACTCAGAATTAAAGAAAGAGGAAGATCAAGTCAACCAGTCCAAGGAGGGTCAGAGAGAATAAAATGGTACAAAAAAAGAAAACATAGCTAGGGATGGAGAAGTGAGGTCAGAGACCTAGAGAGACAGAGAAGGTGGAAGGAGGAAATAGACATGAAGAGAGATGGGGGTGGAGGGTGAGAGAGAGAAAGAGAGCATTAAGTCATAGAGCAGGGGAGTGAGTTCTCAGCTCAGGTGTGAGGAGAGCTGTGACAAGGAAGAACCTCCCTGAGGAAACCACCTCTTCTTCTTCCAGGTCTATATGGGAAACCTTCTCTCTCAGCCCAGCCGGGCCCCACGGTTCAGGCAGGAGAGAATGTGACCTTGTCCTGCAGCTCCCGGAGCTTGTTTGACATTTACCATCTATCCAGGGAGGCGGAGGCCGGTGAACTTAGGCTCACTGCAGTGCTGAGGGTCAATGGAACATTCCAGGCCAACTTCCCTCTGGGCCCTGTGACCCACGGAGGGAACTACAGATGCTTCGGCTCTTTCCGTGCCCTGCCCCATGCGTGGTCAGACCCGAGTGACCCACTGCCCGTTTCTGTCACAGGTGAGAAAACACCATGCCTGTCCCATGTCTTGTGATCCTAGAGCCATAGCTGAGGAGCTTCCTGCTGATGATGGAGAGAAGCATGGACAGATGCCGAGACAGAACACACAGCATGGGTGTAAGGGCGGGGTCAGGGCGCAGGATGGCAGACAGGGCACCTCCAAACCCTCCTGTATGGCCTGCAAGGATGCCCTTGATCAGGGTTCCAGGCACCCAGGCAGATGGAGAAAGAGGTCAGAACAGACCCAGAGGAGGGAGACTGGGCTCTGCCTGGGGAGATCAGAGGTTCTCTCAGCCCCTCAACCTTACCCACTTCCCAGAAGCCCATCCTGGCCTGTCACCCACAGAGAGATGTCATCACCAGCAACGCCTACACCCTTTTCTTTTTGTTTGAAGAAATATTTATTGAGGTGAAATATACCTATGTAATTTACCACCTTTACCATTTTTAAGTGTGAAGTCTACTGTTCATAAATACATTTATAGGCTGGGCACGGTGGCTCACGGTTGTAATCCCAACACTTTGAGAGGCCAAGGCAGGTGGATCATTTGAGATCAGGGGCTCAAGACCACCCTGGCCAACATGGGGAAAATCCATCTGTACTAAAAATACAAAATAATAATTATAATGATAATAATTAGCCGAGCATGGTGGCACATGCCTGTAGTCCCAGCTACTTGGTAGGGTTGGGCAGGAGTTGCACTTAATTGCAGGAGGCGGAGGTTGCAGTGAGCTGAGATCATGCCACTGCACTGCAGCCTGGGCAACAGAGAGAGACACTCTCTCAAAATTAATTAATTAATTAATTAGTATTCTTTTTTTTTTACCCTCCACCCTTCCCTTCCTGGCCTCTGGTAGCCACCATTCTACTCTCTACCTTTGTGAGATCCACCTTTTAGCTCCTGCATATGAGTGAGAAATGGAAATACTTGTAATGACCTCCAGTTCCATTCATGTGGCTGTAAATGACAGGATGTTACTCTTTCTATGGATGAGTTGTCCCTATTGTGTGTGTGTACCACATTCTCTCCATCCATTCACCCACTGATGGGCAGGTAGGTTGATCCACATCTTGGCTACTGTGAACACTGCTGGAACAGTCATGGGAGTGCAGATGTCACTTCGATACGCTGATGTCCTTTCCTTTGGGTTTACACCCAGTCATGGAATTGCTAGATCCTCTGGAAGTGTCTTTTTACATTTTGTTTTATGGTTTTTGTTTTTGTTTTTGTTTTTTTTAGACTGTTTCACTCTTGTTGCCCAGGCTGGAGTGCAGTGGCGCCATCTGGGCTCACTGCAACCTCCACCTCCAGGATTCAAGAGATTCCCCAGCCTCAGCCTCCCAAGTAGCTGGGTTACTGGCTCCCACCACCACACTCGGCTAATTTTTATATTTTTAGTAGAGACAGAGTTTCGCTATATTGGCCAGGCTGCTCTTCAACTCCTGACCTCAAGTGACCTACCCACCTCGGCCTCCCAATGTGCTGGGATTACAGGCATGAACCACTGTGCCCGACCTCATTTTATTTTTTGAGGAACTTCCATACTCTTCTCCTCTGTAATGGCTGTACTAATTTACATTCGTATCAGCAGTGTACCAGATGCAACCCTGGTTGACTCAGCAGAGCAAGAGACGTGCAGTAAGAGAGAATTTAGCTTATTTATGCACACGACACTTCCACTCACTCACTCGTTCAGCCAATGCCCCATGCTCAGGCTGTGCAGTGTGGAATCTTTTCCTATTGTTGCCATAACAAATTTCCACAAGCTTCGTGGATGAAAACATGTTTTTCTTAATTATCTCACAGTGCTGTAACTCAGAAGTATGAACTGCATTTCACTGGGCTGATATCAAAGGGACAGTAAGGCTGGATTTCTTTTTAAGGTTCCAAGCAAGAATCTGCTCCTTAACGTTTCCCAGCTCCTAGAGGCTCCCACGTTCCTGGGCCCCTGGTCCCCTTCCTCCTTCCTCCTTCCTCAAAGCCCACAAAGGCTGGTCACGTCTCACATGGCATCATTCAGACTCTTCTTCTTTACCCACACCTTTTTCTCTGAATCCTGCTCTGCCTTCTTCCTCATCTTTTAAGGACTTTGGGATTCTATTGGGGTCACCAAGATAATCCATCTCAATCTCCCTAAAATCATCCAGCGTACCCTCTTTTTAAGTTCAGCTGATTAGCAACCGTAATGCCATCTGCAATCTTCATTCCTCCTTTCCTGTAAAATAACATATTCACAAGCTATGGAGGCTAAGACAGGGACATTTTGGGGGTGGGGCAGCATTCTCCTGCCTTCCACAAATGGTAAACAGGATGCATTTGGCCTCTGCTCTTGGGACGCTGATATTGCAGATGGGTAAATGCGAGGGCAGAGAATGAATGCACAAGGGTACCAATAAATGAATGATCCATTGGGAAGCATCTGTGCACCAAATCTGGGGTTTTTTGTGTGTGTGTGTGTTTTTTGTTTTCTTTTTTTTTTTGAGTAGAGTCTCTCTCTGTTCCACAGGCTGGAGTGCAGTAGCACAATCTCAGCTCATTGCAACCTCTGCCTCCTGGGTTCATGCAATTCTCCTGCCTCAGCCTACCGAGTAGCTGGGATTACAGCTGTGCGCCACCACACTCGGCTAATTTTTTTGGTATATTTTTTTAGTAGAAATGAGGTTTCACCATGTTGTGCAGGCTGTCTCAAACTCCCAATCTCAAGTGATCCCACCGCCTTAGCGTCCCTAAGTGCAAAGATTACAGGCGAGAGCTACTGCGCCCAGCCAGGATTTAAAATAAGTAATAGATAATGCTGAGTATATAATTTCAGGTGACAGAGAAGGTCTCACTGATCAGATAATATTTGTGACCTTAATGGAAAAAATGGATTCAACCCTTGGAAGATTGGCGGAAGGATTTTCCACACTGAGCTCTCAGCCGTGAAGGCACAAAGGTGGAAACATTCTTAGTTCAAGGAAGAGGCTCTGCCTCAAATGCTGGGAATGAGATGGGGAGAATGACAAGACAACTGTAGAGAGATGGAGAGCACACTGGGTACACAGGAAACTAAGGAGGAACAAGGAGCATGTTTTTGATACTCACAGCCCTTGGATTCAACTCAGAGCTAACTAGGAATCCCTACCTGATTAACAGTGACCGACATGAAAATAAGGGAGGCCCAGGTGCGTAACTGGAATCTAGGAGACCGTGGAAAAGGCAATTCCCGCCCCACTGGTGAAACGTAGGGTTGATTTACACACTAAATGAATGAAAGATGGATATAAGCTATGCTTGTGAGGTAGAATCATTTGCAGGGAGGGCTTGCTGGGTTTGATTTTTCCTAGTAGTTTAATCCTTGTTTCATTAATTTCTTTCTGAGATGTGTTTTTTTTCTACATCTAAATCAATACCTGGCAGAGGAGCGATAGACACATGAGGGGTGGTGCAAATGAAGGGACCTAGTATAATATAATATACAAGACTGTGGATGGGGGCTCACACCTGTAACCCAACACTTTGGGAGGCCAAGGCGGGTAGATCACTTAAGGGTAGGAGTTTGAGACCAGCCTGGCCAACATGGTGAAACCCCGTCTGTACTAAAAATACAAAAATTAGCCTGGTGCATTGGCACCTGCCTGTAATCCCAGCGACTGGGGAGGCTGAAGCAGAAGAATGGCTTCAACCCTGGAGGCAGAGGTTGAACTGAGATCGCATCACTGCACTCCAGCCTGACACAGGGGGACTCTGTCTCAAAAAATAAAAATAAAACATACATAATTATGACACACAGAAATTACAAAGGCAACTGGATACCAACCATCATTTTTCTATTTCTCTGTGTTTAATTCTTTGACCCTTTATCTTATCCATTAAACAATCAGGTTAAACCTCTTCCTTATTTGGCTTTCTGTGAGCTTGGGATCATATGGAAAATGTGAAAGCCTCCTGAACCCACCAGCACAGGTCCTGGAATAGAGAACGTGCTCTGTTCATGGCATAAAACTTGCCCCTTCACCCAAATCCCCCAATTCATCTCTACTTCCAATCACCTATGGAGATACAGATAGATCATGGGGAGGTAAACACTAATACTCTTTGGAGTGAGCTCAGATCTTGGACTCAGAGACCAGTGCCAGCACTAGCCCCTGGTCACATTTCGTACTAACTCACAGAAGGACAGGCTGTATTGAAACAATAAACGACGGAGAGGGCGGTCCTTCCCCGTGCTTCTCGGGTGGAATAGCAGCCTAATATATGTCTCAGCAGATCACAAAAAGTAGCATGTTGTTCCTGGGCTACATCATTATTTCATGGCTGTTTGATTTAAGTCAGTTCTACTTCACTTTTTTTATCTTGATTTCATTTTTTCTTTCTTTTCTTGGAGAATGTAATTTTTTTGAGTCAAGAGGGTTGTGGTGGTAGAAACTGTAAAGCACATTCGCTGTGTATCAATCCCAATCCAGTCTTCCCAGAGAAGATTCTAAACACCTCCTGGAATGCACCTGGGCCTATACCAATTCCTATCACTCACCGTCACTCCAGGGAGACAGAACACACAGAGAACACATTACACAGGCAGGTTCATTACTAACAGATAAGCAGCGAGTGACAACAGAAACCTACATTTCAATGTGAGCCAGTCCCTCAAGGCTCAGAAAAGCTGCTCGAGACATGTGGAGTCACCCCATATGCAGTGTATCTGGGGGAAATCAAAAAGCAGCCCAGCCTGGGTTTTGTACCCTGGAGCCACAGGAAGCACTCAGCTAAAGCACTGCATGACGTCCTCCTCCAGGAAGAACAGGAAGACAGCCCAGGCTGTTCTGGGATGTTCCTCCTGATCTCAGGACGTTGCTGTCTTAGTCCATTTTTGTTGCTCTAAAGGAACACTTGAGCCTGGGTAACTTCTAAAGACAAGAAATGTGTTTGCCTCACAGTTCTGCAGGCTGTACTGGAAGCATGGCACCAGCATCTATTTCTTGTGACGGCCTCAGGCTGCTCCCACTCTGGCAGAAGGGAAGGAGGGTCTGTCTGTGCAGAGACCACAGAGATCACACGGCAAGAGAGGGACCAAGGGGGAGGGGGAGCGATGGAGCTTCCAAGCTCTTTTAACAACCAGTTCTCCAGGAACTAATAGAGGGGGAACTTGCTAACCCCGTCTCCTTGGAACAGCATTGATCTGTTCATGATGGATCCACCTCCATGACCCAAACAACTCCCAAGAGGCCCAACCTCCCACTCTGGGGGTTACATTTCAATGTGAGGTTTGAAGGGGTCAAACATCTAAACTAAAGCAGTTGTATCCTCAGCACGTTCTATGGTTACTACAACTGAGAAAGCAGGAGGAAGCTAGGTCTCCCGCCATCTGGGTGCTTGTCCTAAAGAGACGTTGTATGTGGTTACCTGTCAATCAAGAAATGTGAGACAATTCATATAGAGGAACTGCTATGATTAGCTTCTTATTGGTGTCTTGTCTTCCTCCAGGTAACTCCAGACACCTGCATGTTCTGATTGGACCTCAGTGGTCATCATCCCCTTTGCTATCCTCCTCTTCTTTCTCCTTCATCGCTGGTGTGCCAACAAAAAGAGTAAGTCTCACGAAGCAGAAGCCAGAGAGCTCAGGGCCATGTGGGGAAGCAGGATGGGAGCACTCAGGTGTGTGTTCCTCACAGGCAGGATGGTCCCTGGCCCAAGGCAGGAGCCACAGAGGCAGGACTTTCTAGAGAGAGCACCAGACTCCCTGCCTCTGCCTTCAGCTCACAGACCATTGCCTGATTCTGAACCGTATCCTCACATCCCCTGCAGCCACTCACATCCAGGAGAAGGTTCCATGACAGGCAGAAAGTGGGACACAGAATCAATAGGATGGGAACTCAGAGCTATACATGGGATGGATCCTTGAGCTCAGAGAGATAGAATGTCTGAGTCTGCTGTTGGCAACTGAGGGACCTCAGGCACCTATGGCCTCCCCCTGTATGTTGGTATCTGCTTATGAAATGAGGACCCAGAAGTGCCCTCCGAGCTGTTTTGACGACTTCCGTCTTCTACAGATGCTGTTGTAATGGACCAAGAGCCTGCAGGGAACAGAACAGTGAACAGGGAGGTAGGTGCTCCTCCGCCCAGCCTCGTGGCTAGTCTTATTCCCAAAGAGTCCTGGAAAATGTGAGCACCCTCCCTCACTCAGCATTTCCCTCCCTCCAGGACTCTGATGAACAAGACCCTCAGGAGGTGACATACGCACAGTTGAATCACTGCGTTTTCACACAGAGAAAAATCACTCGCCCTTCTCAGAGGCCCAAGACACCCCCAACAGATACCAGCGTGTAACACGGAACTTCCAAATGCTGAGCGCAGATCCAAAGTTGTCTTCTGTCCACTAGCACCACAGTCAGGCCTTGATGGGATCTTCTAGGGAGACAATAGCCCTGTCTCAAAACCGGGTTGCCAGCTCCCATGTACCAGCAGCTGGACTCTGAAGGCGTGAGTCTGCATCTTAGGGCATCGCTCTTCCTCACACCACGAATCTGAACATGCCTCTCTCTTGCTTACAAATGTCTAAGGTCCCCACTGCCTGCTGGAGAGAAAACACACTTGCTTAGCCCACAATTCTCCATTTCACTTGACCCCTGCCCACCTCTCCAACCTAACTGGCTTACTTCCTAGTCTACTTGAGGCTGCGATCACACTGAGGAACTCACAATTCCAAACATATAAGAGGCTCCCTCTTAACACGGCACTTAGATACGTGCTATTCCACCTTTCCTCAGAGTATCTTTCAGCCTTCTGTCAGCAGTAAAACTTATAAATTTTTTTTATAATTTCAATGTAGTTTTCTCTTCTTCAAGTAAACATGTCTGCCCTCATGGTTTCGTCAATGGGACTCTTTTCTTGCCTAAGGCTTCCGGTGTTATCATTACCACGTCCACATAACCCCATCTGTTCTCCGCTGGGTTCTCACCCCTGGACTCTGAGCTTCTGGAAGCAGGGTGGAGCCTGAATTGTCTCTGAGACTCCAATTTCCATCCAAAGATGCAGCACATAGGAGGTTCCAAGGATGGTGAATCAGATGAACAAGTGATATTCTTACTCTCTGCAGATCTGGAAAGCTGGCAGAGTCATTCCACGATGAAACATTTGTAGAGTCATAGGCCTTGTTAGTCTCATCTCCACAGGGACACGTATCAACACATCATCTTTCATACTACTATAAATAGACAGTCACTCCTCCATATCTCTGGGGTTTACACATGTTTATTGAATCAGCAATAAATCAAAAATATTTTGAGAAAAAAAATCCCCGAAGTTTCAAAAAGCAAAAAACTATGTTGAATCGACACAAATTGAGTGGCGTGTAGGCTGTGTCAGGAATTATAAGTAATCAAGAGATGATTTCATGTATACAGGAGGATGTGCATGGGTTCTATGCAATTGCTATGCTATTTTTTTTTTTTTTGAGACAGTCTCACTCTCTCACCCAGGCTGGAGTGCAGTGGCGTGATCTCAACTCACTGCAACCTCCGCCTTCCAGGTTCAAGCGATTCTCTTCCCTCAGCCTCCCCAGTAGCCTCCCCTAGGATTACAGGCACGTGCCACCCTGCACAGATAAATTTTTTTGTGTGTATATTTTTAGTAGAGATGGGGTTTCAGAATGTTGGACCAGCTGGTCTTGAACTCCTGACCTTGTGATCTACCCAGCTCAGCCTCCCAAAGTGCTGGGATTACAGGCGTGAGCCACGGTGCCCAGCTTCACTATGCCATTTCATGCAAGGGGCTTGAGCATCTGCAGATTTTGGTATCTGAATGGGGATCCTGGAACCAATCACCCAGGTATAGTGAAGGACCATGGTATATAATTTTTATTTGTCAATCTTAAAAATAAAGCATAAAAAATTTACAACAACAAGATAAAAAATAAGAAGTGTTTTTATAGTGTGAGGATAAGTTTAGATTTATTTTTTCCTACGTGTAACCCTATGGTCCTGTGTTATTTGTTGAGAAAATATTCTATTCCACCTTAAACTACATGGCAGCCTTTGTCAACTATAAAGGGACTGTGTATCCACAGATGTATTTTAGACACAGTTTTCTGTCCAGTGGTTCTCTGTATCCCCTCTCATGAGGATGCTGCATTTTATATAAACTTATAGAACCCCTTAAAATTTGGTAACCTGAGTCCTCTGATTTGTTATTATAGGTTATTTAGTTTGCTTTTTTTTTTTTTCTTGAGACAGACTCTTCCTCTGTCACCCAAGCTGGAGTTCAGTGGCTTGAGCTCAGCTCACTGCAACCTCCGTCTCCCAGGTTCAAGCTATTCTGATGCCTCTGGTTTAGTAGTAGAAACTCAAGCAGGAAAATTAGAATGGCTTCTTGTCACAATTACTCTGATAATGTTAATAATACCTGTTAGACATTTTGCACATTACATATGAAGAAGAGTTTGAATCTCAGATAAAAACAAAAATACATCAAAAATCTTTAATGTAAGCACAGAATTCAATCATCTCGTGTATGAGAGGTTGGATCTGAGACGTCTTTTGAGTCTGGTCGTAGTGAAGGACGCAAGGTGTCAATTCTAGTGAGAACAATTTCCAGGAAGCCATGTTCCGCTCTTGAGCGAGCACCCACTGGGCCTCATGCAAGGTAGAAAGAGCCTGCGTACGTCACCCTCCCATGATGTGGTCAACATGTAAACTGCATGGGCAGGGCGCCAAATAACATCCTGTGCGCTGCTGAGCTGAGCTGGGGCGCGGCCGCCTGTCTGCACAGACAGCACCATGTCGCTCATGGTCGTCAGCATGGTGTGTGTTGGTGAGTCCTGGAAGGGCATCGAGGGAGGGAGTGCGGGGATGGAGATCGGGGCCCAGAGTTGGAGATATAGGCCTGGAAGTGGAGTTATGGGCCTAGAGATGGAGTGATGGGCCTAGAAGTGGAGATCTGGGCCTGGAGTGGAGATCTGGGCCTGGAGTGGAGATATGGGCCTGGAGGTTGAGATATGGGCCTGCAGTAGAGATATGGGCTTGTAGTGGAGACATGGGCCTGGAGATGGAGATATGGGCCTGGAGATGGAGATATGGGCCTGCAGTAGAGATAGGGGCCTGGAGTGGAGATATGGGCCTGGAGTGGAGATATGGGCCTGGAGGTGGAGATATGGGCCTGGAGGTGGAGATATGGGCCTGGAGTGGAGATATGGGTCTGGAGGTGGAGATACGGGCCTGCAGTAGAGATATGGGCCTGGAGTGGAGATATGGGCCAGGAGTGGAGTTATGGGCCTAGAGATGGATATCTGGGCCTGGAGTGGAGATATGGGCCTAGGAAGGAGATATGGGCCTGGGTGTGGAGATATGGGACTGGAGAGGTGATATGGGCCTGGAGTGGAGATATGGGCTTAGGGTGGAGATCTGGGCCTGGGGCGGAGATATGGGACTGGATTGGAGATAGGGGCCTAGGGTGGAGATCTGAGCCTGGATTGGCGATATGGGCCTAGGGTGGAAATATCAGCCTGGAGTGGAGATATGGGCTTGGGGTGGGGATATGGGCCTGGAAACTGGGTCTCTGCACAGCCGACAGCCCTGTTCTTGGGTGCAGGTAGGCACTGAGGGTGAGTTTAACTTCAGCCCAGGAAGGGCCTGGCTGCCAAGACTCACAGCCCAGTGGGGGCAGCAAGGGAGGCCTGGTTTGCCTGCAGATGGATGGTCCATCATGATCTTTCTTTCCAGGGTTCTTCTTGCTGCAGGGGGCCTGGCCACATGAGGGTGAGTCCTTCTCCAAACCTTCGGGTGTCATCTCCCCACATAAGAGGATTTTCCTGAAACAGGAGGGAAGTCCTGTCGGGGAGTCTCTCATAAACTAGGAAGAGAGGACCCTGGGGTGCTCAGCCCACATTTCTGACCTCGCCTCCCTGGCCTCTCAACCCCTTGGCAGAGTCAAGTTCTGTGGGGACCAGGGTTAGACTGGGGTGCTCAAAGCTGGGGTGTGTGGTTGGGAAGTGGTAGGAACAGCAGATCCTCTGAGGACAAAGGTGTTACTCACACACTTCAGCGTTTCCATGATGGTAGGGGCTGCAGTGTGGCTGCTGTCATTCTACCAGAAGAGGTGGGAAACCACAGCCATGGCCCTGACATTCCAAATCCTCTGATGGGGGCTCAGTTGTTTATTTTCGTTCAGGCATCCGCTGATATCCATTCACAAAGGACATGCCCTCCACCTCATGTCTACCCTGTGTTGTTTTATGTGAGTAATCTTACAGTATTAAAATCTAGTAGGAGTCTCTTTACTCAGCACTTGCTCAAAGTTCTCAGCTGAGGCTTTTGTTGTAGGGAGACACCATGTCTTTGCGGGATGGGTCCTTCCTTCAGCCCTGGGCACCAAGGTGTGATAGTAGCCATAGAAACGTGGAAAGCGAGGAGAATCTTCTGAGCACAGGGAGGGAAGGGCAGTTCCACATCCTCCTCTCTAAGGCGGCGCCTCCTTCTCCCCAAGGTGGTCAGGACAAGCCCTTGCTGTCTGCCTGGCCCAGCCTTGTGGTGCCTCTAGGACATGTCATTCTTCGGTGTCACTCTTATCTTGGGTTTAACAACTTCAGTCTGTAAAAGGAAGGTGGGGTGCCTGTCCCTGAGCTCTACAACAGAATATTCTGGAACAGCCTTTTCATGGGCCCTGTGACCCCCGCACACACAGGGACATACAGATGTCGGGGTTCACACACACACTCCCCCAGTGGGTGGTCAGCACCCAGCAACCCCCTGGTGATCGTGGTCATAGGTCAGAGGGCTCCTGTCTTGGATTCTCCTTGTCCCACCTCCTGAATCCCAGAGCTTCTGTTGGGCATGTCCTTGAGGGTCCCATCACGCAGGCCCTGACTGTATTTGTGGTAAAGGGGGATTGAATACAGGGAAATGGGTGCTGTGGTGGGAAGAATAATTGTCCCCAGTGATGACTACATTCTAATCCCTGGAGTCTGTGACTATTTATGTTATAGGGGAAGGGACTGAAGGGGAAGATGGAGCTCATGGGGAGACAGCCTGGACTGTCCCACTGGGCTCAGTGTAATCACAAGGGTGCACATGAAAGGAGGAGGAAGAGGGGAGTGGGGATTAGAGCAGTCCAGTGGAAGTCTTCACCAGCTTTGAAGGTGGAGGAAGGCCAAGATCCATGAATGCAGGTGGCCTATAGAGGCTGGAAAAGTCAAGGAACTGATTCTCCAGAGTCTCCAGAGGGAACAAAGCCCTGCAGATGCCTTGATTTTAGCCCAGGAAAAATAGGGTCCAATTTCTGTCTCCAGTACTGGAAGGTGTCAGTGTGGTCTCTCCTGCTGCCATGCTTCTGATAATTTTCTACAGCAGCAACAGGAAACCAACACTGGAACCCAGGTCAAGGACAAGTTAAGAAACAACCCAAGGAAAGCCAGGCATGGTGGCAGGTGCATGTAATCCTAGCGACTCAGGAGGCTGAGGGCAGGAGAATCACTTGAACCCAGGAGACAGAGGTTGCAGTGAGCCTAGACCACACCACTTCACTCCAGCCTGGGTGAAGGAGTGAGACTCTGTCTCCATAATTAATTAATTAATTAAAGAAACCAAACAAGGAGAAGGTTGGCTACCCTGAGATCAGCAAGGGTGGGATGATGATGCCACCACCAGGCTCCATCCACATAGGGAGGGGTTGATACTCCTCCAACCAGCACCAGGAGCCAGCCTATGGAAGCTGGCACCATGGAGAAGGCACAGGCATGGCAAGAGTGGCTCCCAGTCCCCACCAGGAACAGGGTGTGTGGACACTGGTGCCTGCCTTATTCATCAGTTCATACCTTCTGCCAAGGATTGCAATTCATCCAAAAGAGATTGAACCAGGCTGATAAGAGCCTGGATGTGCAGCCTATCCTGGTTCCTCTTTCACCCCCACATAAACAGCAGGAAATACATTAGTGTGAAATAGATACAACACCCCAAGAGATGAGGCTCAGCCCAGTGGGAAGGGAATCAGAGGCTACTAGAGACAGAGGGACAGAGAAGAGGGAGGGAGACAGATGGAAGGACCTGCACCAGGAGTTAAGGGCACAGAAAAGAACATGAAGACACAGAGAGGAAGGAGAGAGACAGACACCAGCAAGGGGAAGCCTCACTCATTCTAGGTGCCATGGATGGGATGATAAAGAGAGACACCTTCTAAACTCACAACCTCTCTTCCTAGGAGTCCACAGAAAACCTTCCCTCCTGGCCCACCCAGGTCCCCTGGTGAAATCAGAAGAGACAGTCATCCTGCAATGTTGGTCAGATGTCAGGTTTCAGCACTTCCTTCTGCACAGAGAAGGGAAGTTTAAGGACACTTTGCACCTCATTGGAGAGCACCATGATGGGGTCTCCAAGGCCAACTTCTCCATCGGTCCCATGATGCAAGACCTTGCAGGGACCTACAGATGCTACGGTTCTGTTACTCACTCCCCCTATCAGTTGTCAGCTCCCAGTGACCCTCTGGACATCGTCATCACAGGTGAGAGTGTCCGGACATTCTCATTGTCATTGGGATGCAGAGTGAATGATCCACGACTTGGAACCCCCAGGTAGTTGTAAGGAAGATGAGCTTGGTATTCTTATGGAGAGAGACTGACTTGCTGAGGTTTGTACCAACAGAGACAGAGAAACAGGAGACACAAGTACAGACCAGGTGTCATAACAGAGGACAGACACAGGGGCCATACAGGGAGTTAGAAAAGACAGAAAGAGTTAAAAGAGACAGACAGACAGACATGTCCCAGAGAGAGGTGTCCCTCCATGCTGACTTTGCTCACAGACCTGGCACAGGTTAGAAGTTTCATTTCTGTTTTACCTCCACAAAGTGTTCTCTACCAGGAGAACCCAAGGACACCCATATTTATGACCTGAGTTGGGCCCTGTGGCCTCAGGCCTTGTGGCACCTACAGGCCATGTTTATTCTGACACCTCTGCCTTCCATGTAATGGAGAGTAATCGTCCCAGGATATCATGGCCCCAGAACACCAACCCCTGTATGCTGTGTGAACTTGTGGTCTCCAGACTGGATTCTGTGGCTCACATTCCAAATAACCCCACATATGAAAGGATCACTGAGAGGCACAGAGAAAAATCAGGAACACCAAAAAGCAAAGACATAAACACACAGAGAATGAGCCAGAGGAAGGAGATTGAGAGACTCACAGACACATAAAGAGAGAGAAAAGAGGGCAGAGGAGTGGTGAGAATGATGGCAGGGAGCAGAGAAAAGCACTAAAATTAGAGTCCTGAGAGAGAGGCACAAGGACATAGAAACATGGAGATGTGGGGATGAATTGCAGAGATTCCAAAGAGAACTAGAGAGACCGAGAGGCAGAGCAAGACAGATGATAGATGGATAGATATAGATAGATGATAAATAGGTAGATGATAGATAATAGGTTAAAGATACATAGATGATGATTGATTGATTCATTAATAGATAATACATAGAGATGATGATGATGAAGACAGATAATACGTACAGATAGAGAGGCAGACAGAAATCATAGAGAGAGAGATGATACATACATATAAATAACAGATGATTGATGGATAGATAGACAAGTGATAGATACATAGATGATATATAGATATAGATGACAGGTAGAGAATTTGTAGATAGGCACCGAATAGATAAATAGATAGATCGACAGATAATAGATAGAAATATGCAGAAAGTTATGAACAGGACACAACGTGAGAAACTTAGAATTTAAAAAAGTAACATCAAGTCAACCAATCCAAGGAGAGTCAGAGAGAATAAAAGAATCCAAAAAGGGAAAACATATCTAGAGGTGGGGAAGCGAGGTCAGAGACCTAGAGAGACAGAGAAGGTGGAAGAAGGAAATAGACATGAAGAGAGATGGGGTGGAGGGTGAGAGAGAGAGAGAGAGAGAGCATTAGGTCATAGAGCAGGGGAGTGAGTTCTCAGCTCAGGTGAAGGGAGCTGTGACAAGGAAGATCCTCCGTAAGGAAAATGCCTCTTCTCCTCCAGGTCTATATGAGAAACCTTCTCTCTCAGCCCAGCCGGGCCCCACGGTTCTGGCAGGAGAGAGCGTGACCTTGTCCTGCAGCTCCCGGAGCTCCTATGACATGTACCATCTATCCAGGGAGGGGGAGGCCCATGAACGTAGGTTCTCTGCAGGGCCCAAGGTCAACGGAACATTCCAGGCCGACTTTCCTCTGGGCCCTGCCACCCACGGAGGAACCTACAGATGCTTCGGCTCTTTCCGTGACTCTCCATACGAGTGGTCAAACTCGAGTGACCCACTGCTTGTTTCTGTCACAGGTGAGGAAACCCCATATCTGTCTCATGTCCTATGATCCTAGAGCCTTAGCTGAGGAGCTTCCTGCTGATGATGGAGAGAAGCATGGACAGATGCAGAGAGAAGACGAAGCTTGGGTGTGAGGGAGGGATCAGGGCACAGGATGGCAGACAGGGCACCTCCAAACCCTCCTACACGGCCTGCATGAAGGCCCGCGGCCAGGGCTCCAGGCACACAGGCAGATGGAGAAAACGGTCAGGAGAGACCCAGAGGAGAGAGACTGGGCTCAGTTTGGGAAGATCAGAGGTTCCCTCAGCCCCTCAACATTACCCATTTCCCAGAAGCCCATCCTGGCCTCTCACCCACACAGGGATGTCATCACCAGCAACCCCTACACCCTTTACTTTTGTTTGAAGAAATATTTATTGAGGATAAATATACCTATATAGCTTACCACCTTTAACATTTTTTTTTTTTTTGAGGCAGAGTCTAGCTCTGTCCCCTATGCTGGAGTGCAGTGGCACAATCTCAGCTCACTGCAACTTCCGCCTCCTGGGTTCAAGTGATTCTCCTGCTTCAGCCACCTGAGTAGCTGGTGCTACAGGCGCGCACCACCACGCCAGGCTACTTTTTGTATTTTTAGTAGAGAGGGGGTTTCACCATGTTGGTCGAGCTGGTCTCCAACTCCTGACCACGTGATCCACCCGCATCTGCCTCCCAAAGTGCTGGGATTACAGGCATGAGCCACCACGCCCAGCCACATTTACCATTTTTAAGTGTAAAGTCTAGTGGTCATAAATACATTTATATATATATATATATATATATATATACACACACACACACATATATAAACATATATATATATATATATATATATATATATATATATATATATATTTTTTTTTTTTTTTTTTTACCCTCCACCCTTTTATTCCTGGCCTCTGGAAGCCACCATTCTACTCTCTACCTTCATGAGATCCACCTTTTAGCTCTGTATATGGGTGAGAAATGGGAATCTTTGTAATGACTTCCAGTTCCATCCATGTGGCTGCAAATATCAGGATGTTATTCTTTCTATGGATGAGTAGTCTCCACTGTGCGTATGTACTACATTCTCTCTATCCATTCATCCACTGATGGGCAGGTAGGTTGACTCCACATCTTGGCTACTGTGAACAGTGCTGCACCAATCATACGAGTGCAGATATCACTTCGATATATTGATTTACTTTCCTTTGGATATAAACCCAGTAGTGAAATTGCTGGATACTATGAAAGTTCTCTTTTTAGTTATTCGTTTGTTGTTTTGTTTTTGTTTTTGAGACAGTTTCCCTCTGTGCCCAGGCTGGAGTACAAGTGAAGTCATCTTGGCTCATTGCAACCTCCGCCTCCTGGGTTCAAATGATTTTCCTGCCTCAGCCTCCCTAGTAGCTGGGATTACAGGTGCACGCCACCATGCCTGGCTACTTTTTGTTTTTTTTAGTATAGATGGGGTTTCCCCATGTTGGCTGGGCTGCTCTCAAACTCATGACCTCAACTGAGGTGCCCGCCTCGGTCTCCCAAAGTGCCGGGATTACAGGCATGATCCACCTCACCCAACCTCTTTTTAGTTCTTTAAAGGACTTCCACACTTTTCTCCGTAAAGGCTGTACTAATTTACACTCCTACCAACAGGGTATTAGGGTTCTCCTTTCTCTACCACTTTGGCAGGATTTCCTTTGCCTGTCTTGCAGCTAAAAGCCATTTTATTTTATTTCATTTTATTTTGAGATGGAGTTTCGCTCTTGTCACCCAGGCTGGAGTGCAGTGGTGCGATCTCGGCTCACCACAACCTCCACCTCCCAGGTTCAAGCGATTCTCCTGCCTCAGCCTCCCGAGTAGCTGGAATTACAGGCACACGCCACCACGCCCAACTAAATTTTGTATTTTTAGTAGAGACAGTGTTTCTTCATGTGGGTCAGACTGGTCTCAAACTCCCGACCTTATGAGGTTCACCCACCTCAGGCTCTCAAAGGTCTAGGATGACAGACGTGAGCCACCACGCCCGGCCTAAAATCCATTTTAATGGGGTGAGATGAAAACTCACTTTGATTTTAATTTGTGTTTCTCTGATGATGAGTGAAACTGAGCACTTTTTAGTATGTGGGGAAATTTCATGTGTTTTGCTCCTTTTTCAATTAAATCGTTTGTTTTATTGAGTTGTTTGAGCTTCTTATATTTCTAGTTATTAATCCCATCTCAGATGCATAGTTTGCACATATTTGCTCCCAATCTGTGGGTTGTCTCTTCACTTTGTTGGTTTATTTTTAGCGGTGCAGAAGTTGCTTAGTTTGAGGTAATCCCAATGGTCTATTTTTGCTTCGATTACTTGTGTTTTGAAGGTTTAAAACAAAATGTCTTCCTTCAGACAAATGTCCTGGAGCATTTCCCCAATATTTTCTTCTACGTGTTTCATAGGTTCAGGCCTTAGACTCACATCTTTAATCCATTTTCATTTGAGTTTTGTGTATAGTGACAGGTAGAGGTGCAGTTTCATTCCTCTGCATGTAGATGTCCAGGTTTCCCTGCACTGTTTATTGAAAAGACTGTCCTTTCCTGATTGTGAGTTCTTGGCACCTTTGTCAAAGTCCATTGGATGGGCTGGGCATGGTGGCTGACACCTGCAATTTCAGCACTTTGGGAGCCCAAGGCGGGTGGATCACCTGAGGCCAGGAGTTCAAGATTAGTCTGGCCGACGTGATGAAACATTGTCTCCACTAAAAATATAAAAATTAGCTGAGCATGGTGGTCAGCACCTGTAATACCACTACTCAGGAGTTTGAGGCCAGAGAATTGATTGAACCCAGGAGGCTGTGGTGGCAGTGAACCGAGATTGCACCTCTGCACTCCAGCCTGGGTGACAGAGCGAGACTCCATCTCAAAAGAAAAAAGAAAAAAACATTGGAGGTAAATGCATGGATTATATCTGTGTTCTTCATTCTGCTCCATTGTTCTACGTGCCTTTCTTTATGCCAATGTGATGCTGTTTTGCTTACTACAGCTCTGTAACATATTTTGAGATCAGGTAGTGTGATGCTCCTGTTTTCTCTTTATACCTTGAAGTCTCAAGACAGTGGGCGTCACATACAAAAATTACGGAAAAAAGGATCCCAGGACTCCCAGGGCCCAATATTAGATAACAGAGTGTTGGCCATGAACCAACCTCAAAGATTTCCATTGAGTAGAGGACAGACACCCTCATTTCCTCACCTCTCTCCTGTCTCGTGTTCTAGGAAACCCTTCAAATAGTTGGCCTTCACCCACTGAACCAAGCTCCGAAACCGGTGAGTACAGAACCCTCTTATATCCGCTTTTGGAAACCTGGGGAGGTAGAAACCTTCGATGCAGGCATTGACTCAGCATCTCGCAGCTCTGACATTGTACGCCTGTCTTCTACCATCTCCGAACTCCAGATACTCCAACAGCGAAAGGGATCTGGGCCCAACCTAGGGCTCAGTGAAATCTCTTAATCTCTCATTTTATGGAGCTGAGACCTCCTACAAGCTAGAAGAATGATTGCCAATCTGACATCCTTCTCAGGAAAAATGCAATGTTTGTTCTGCCTGCATTCCTAACTGGAGGATAAATTCCTGGGGGCTTGAGAGAGGGAAGGGAAGGGAACATCTGATGAGGGCGAGGTGTTTTAGAGAAGTTCCACTTGCCAAGGAATGAATTACTGTTGGTCATGAAGCAACCCTGGCTGACTCAGCAGAGCAACAGCCTTGCCGTAACAGAGAACGGAGCTCATGCACGCACACTTCGACTCACTGACTCATTCAGCCACGGCCCCATGCTCAGGCTGTGCAGTGCGGAACCTTTTCCTATTGTTGCCATAACAAATTTCCACAAGATTCGTGGGTGAAAACAAAACGGTTTTTTAATTATCTTACAGTGCTGTAGCTCAAAGTAGGAAGTGCATCTTACTGGGCTAAAATCAAGGTGACAGCAAGGCTGCCTTCCCTCTGAGGATTCCAGGCAAGAATCTGCTTCTCACTTATCCCAGCTTCTAAAGGCTCCCAGTTCCTTGGCTCCTGTTCCCCTTCCTCCTTCCTCAAAGCCCACAAAGACTGGTCACATCTCACATGGCATCACTCAGTGCCTTCTTCCTTACCACACCTCTTTCTCTGAATGCTGCTCTCCCTTCTTCCTTATCTTTTGAAAACTTGGGGATTCTATTGGGTTCACCAAGATGAAAATCCCTCATAATCTCCTGGAAATCATCCAGGATACCCTTGTTTTAAGTTCAGCTGATTAGCAACCGCAATTCCATCTACAATCTTCATTCCTCCTTTCCATGTAAAATAACATATTCACAAGCTATGGAGGCTAGGACAGGGACATTTTGGGGTGGGACAGCATTCTCCTGCCTTCCACAAACGGTGAACAAGATGCATTTGGCTTCTGCCCTTGGGACACTGATATTGCAGATGGTTAAATGGGAGGGCAGAAAATGAATGCACAAGTGGATCTATAAATGAATGATCCATTGGGAAGCATCTGTGCATGAAATCTATTTTTTGTTTGTTCTTTTGTTTATTGAGACAGAGTCGCCCTCTGTCTTCCAGGCTACAGTGCAGTGTCACGATCTTGGCTCACTGCAACCTGCGTCTCCTGGATTCAAGTGATTCTCCTGCCTCCGCCTCTCGAGTAGCTGGGATTACAGGCAACTGCCACCGTGCCCGGCTAATTCTTTTTGTATATTTTTTGTAGAGAGGATGTTTCACCACGTTGGCCAAGCTTGTCTGAAACTCCCAACCTCAAGTGATCCGACCGTCTCAGCATGCCAAAGTAATGGGACTACAGGCGTGAGCCACTGTGCCCAGCCAGAATTCAAAATCAATAATAGATAATGCTGAGTGTATGATTTCAGGTGACAAAGAAGGTCTCACTATTCAGATATTTGTGACATTAATGAAAAACACGGATTGAACCCCTGAAAGATTGGCGGAAGGATTTTGCACACACAGCTGTCAGCCGTGAAGGCACAAAGGTGAAAACAATCTGATGTGGAAGGAAGAGGCTCTGCCTCAAATGCTGGGAATGATGTGGGGAGAATGACAAGACGACTGTAGAGAGACGGAGAGCACACTGGGTACACAGGAAACTAAGGAGCAACAAGGAGTGTGTGTTTGACACTCACAGCCATTGGATTCACCTCGGGGTAACCAGGAATCCCTACATGATTAATATGACTGACATGAAAATAAGGGAGGCTCAGTTGCATAACTGGAATCTAGGAGACCGTGGAAAAGGCAATTGCCACCCCACTGGTGAAATGTGGTGCTGATTTAGACACTAAATGAATGAAGTAGATGGATATAAGATATGTTTGTGAGGTAGAATCATTGACTGGAAACGCTTACTGGGTTTGATTTTCCTACTTGTTTAATCCTCGCTTAATTAATTTCTTTCTGAGATTTATTCATCCTACACATAAATCAATACCTGGCAAAGGAGTGACAGATATATGAGTGGTGGTGGAAATGAAGAGACTTATTATAGCATAATATACAAGTCTGTGAACAGTGGCTCACGCCTGTAACCTAGCACTGCAGGAGGCCAAGGTGGGTGGATTCCATGAAGTCAGGAGTTCCAGACCAGCCTGGCCAACGTGGTGAAACCCTATCTCTACTAAAAATACAAAAATTAGCCGAGCACGATGGTGCATCCCTGTAATCCCAGCTCCTATTCTGGAGGATGAAGCAGGAGAATGACTTCAACCCAGTAGGTGGAGGTTGCAGTGAGTGGAGATTGCATCACTGCACTCCAGCCTGGGGGACACAAGGAGACTCTATCTCAAAAAATAAAAATAAGAAATACATAAATATAATAAAACACACACGAATGACAAAGGCACCTGAATTCCAATCATCGTTTTTCTATTTCTCTATAATTACTTCTTTGATCCTTTATCTTATCCATTAGGCAATGAGCTTAAAACCTCTTCCCTATTTGGCTTTCTGTGAGAATGAGATCACATAGAAAATGTGAAAGCCCTCAGAATCCTCCAGCACAGATCGTGGAATAGAGAAAGTGCTCTGTTCATCGCAACAAAAAACTTGCCCACTCACCCAAATCCCCCACCTCACCCCTACTTCCAATCACCTGTGGAGATTCAGATAGGCTATGGGGAGGTAAACATTGATACTCCTTGGAGTGAGTCCAGATCTTGGAATCAGAGATCAGTGCCAGCACTAGCTCCTGCTCCCCTTTCCTACTAATTCACAGGAGGACAGGTGGTATTGAAGCAATAGATGGCCGAGGGGGTGGTCCTTCCCCCAGCCTCTCGGGTAGAACAGCAGCCTAACATGTGTCTCCCGAGATCACAAAGAGTAGCACGTTTCACACGGGCTTCAACACTATTTCCTGGCCATTTGACATAAGAGAATTCTACTTAGCTTTTTTTATCTTGATTTCACTTTTGTTTCCTTTTCTTGGAGAATGCAAGTTGTTTGATTCAAGAATGCTGTGGATGTAGAAATCCTAAAGCACATTCGCTGTGTATCAATCCCAGTGCAGTCTTCCCAGAGAAGACTCTAAATACCTCCTGGACTGCACCTGGGCTTATGCCAATTCCTATCACTCACCGTCACTCCAGGGAGACAGAACACACAGAGAATACATTACACAGGCAGGTTCATTACTAACAGATAAGCAGCGAGTGACAACAGAAACCTACATTTCAATGTGAGCCAGTCCCTCAAGGCTCAGAAAAGCTACTCGGGACATATGGAGTCACCCCATTTGCAGTGTAGCTGGGGGAAGCCAGAGAGCAGCCCAGCCTGGGTTTTGTACTGTGGAGCCACAGGAAGCACTCAGCTAAAGCACTGCATGACGTCCTCCTCCAGGAAGAACAGGAAGACAGCCCAGGCTGTTCTGAGACGTTCCTCCTGATCTCAGGACGTTGCTGTCTTAGTCCATTTTTGTTGCTCTAAAGGAACACTTGAGCCTGGGTAACTTCTAGAGAAAAGAGATTGGTTTGCCTCACAGTTCTGCAGGCTGTACTGGAAGCGTGGCACCAGCATCTATTTCTCGTGACGGCCTCAGGCTGCTCCCACTCTGGCAGAAGGGAAGGAGGGTCTGTCTGTGCAGAGACCACAGAGATCACACGGCAAGAGAGGGAGCAAGGGGGAGGGGGAGCGATGGAGCTTCCAAGCTCTTTTGAACAACCAGCTCTCCAGGAACTAATAGAAGGGGAACTTGCTAACCCCGTCTCCTTGGGACAGCATTGGTCTGTTCATGATGGATCCACCTCCATGACCCAAACACCTCTCAAGAGGCCCAACCTCTCACAGTGGGGGTGAAATTTCAATGTGAGGTTTGAAGGGGTCAAACATCTCAACTAAAGTAGTTGTATCCTCAACACGTTCTATGGTTACTATGAGAGCTATAACTGAGAAAGCAGGAGAAAGCTGGGTCTCCCTCCATCTGGGTGCTTGTCCTAAAGGGGTGTTGTATGTGGTTACCTGTCAATCAAGAAATGTGAGACAATTCATAAAGAGGAACTGCTATGATTAGCTTCTTATTGGTGTCTCCTCTTCTTCCAGGTAACCCCAGACACCTGCATGTTCTGATTGGGACCTCAGTGGTCATCATCCTCTTCATCCTCCTCCTCTTCTTTCTCCTTCATCGCTGGTGCTGCAACAAAAAAAGTAAGTCTCACGAAGCAGAGGCCAGAGAGCTCAGGGCCATGTGGGGAAGCAGGATGGGAGCACTCAGGTGTGTGTTCCTCACAGACAGGATGGTCCCTGGCCCAAGGCAGCAGCCACAGAGGGAGGACTTTCTAGAGAGAGCACCAGACTCCCTGTCCCTGCCTTCAGCTCACAGACCATTGCCTGATTCTGAACTGTATCCTCATGTCCCCTGCAGCCACTCACATCCAGGAGAAGGTTCCATGACAGGCAGAAAGTGGGAGACAGAATCAATGGGATGGGAACTCAGAGCTATTCATGGGATGGGTCCTTGAGCTCAGAGAGATAGAATGTCTGAGTCTGCTGTTGGCAACTGAGGGACCTCAGGCTCCTATGGTCTCCCCCTGTATGTTGGTATCTGCTTATGAAATGAGGGCCCAGAAGTGCCCTCTGAGCTGTTTTGTTGACTTCCGTCTTCTACAGATGCTGTTGTAATGGACCAAGAGCCTGCAGGGAACAGAACAGTGAACAGGGAGGTAGGTGCTCCTCGGCCCAGCCTCGTGGCTAGTGTTATTCCCAAAGAGTCCTGGAAAATGTGAGCACCCTCCCTCACTCAGCATTTCCCTCTCTCCAGGACTCTGATGAACAAGACCCTCAGGAGGTGACATATGCACAGTTGAATCACTGCGTTTTCACACAGAGAAAAATCACTCGCCCTTCTCAGAGGCCCAAGACACCCCCAACAGATATCATCGTGTACACGGAACTTCCAAATGCTGAGCCCTGATCCAAAGTTGTCTCCTGCCCATGAGCACCACAGTCAGGCCTTGAGGGGATCTTCTAGGGAGACAACAGCCCTGTCTCAAAACTGGGTTGCCAGCTCCAATGTACCAGCAGCTGGAATCTGAAGGCGTGAGTCTGCATCTTAGGGCATCGCTCTTCCTCACACCACAAATCTGAACGTGCCTCTCCCTTGCTTACAAATGTCTAAGGTCCCCACTGCCTGCTGGAGAGAAAACACACTCCTTTGCTTAGCCCACAATTCTCCATTTCACTTGACCCCTGCCCACCTCTCCAACCTAACTGGCTTACTTCCTAGTCTACTTGAGGCTGCAATCACACTGAGGAACTCACAATTCCAAACATACAAGAGGCTCCCTCTTAACACGGCACTTAGACACGTGCTGTTCCACCTTCCCTCATGCTGTTCCACCTCCCCTCAGACTAGCTTTCAGCCTTCTGTCAGCAGTAAAACTTATATATTTTTTAAAATAATTTCAATGTAGTTTTCCCTCCTTCAAATAAACATGTCTGCCCTCATGGTTTAGGTAATGGGACTCTTTTCTTGCCTAAGGCTTCCGGTGTTATCAGTACCATGTCCATATAATCCCATCTGTTCTCCACCGGGTTCTCACCTCTGGACTCTGAGCTTCTGGAAGCAGTGTGGAGCCTCATTTGTCTCTGGGACTCCAATTTCCATCCAAAGATGCAGCACATAGGAGGTTCCAAGGATCGGGAATCACATGAACAAGTGACATTGTTACTCTCTGCAGACCTGGAAAGCTGGCAGAGTCATTCCACGATGAAACATTTGTAGAGTCATAGGCCTTGTTAGTCTCATCTCCATGGGGACACATATCAACACATCATCTTTCATACTATAAATATACGGTCACTCCTCCGTATCTGTGGGGTTTACAGGTCTTTATTGAACAAAGTATAAATCAAAAATATTCAGAGAAAATATCCACAGAGTTCCAAAACTCATAACTATGTTGAATGGACACAAATGAAGCTGTGTGTAGGCTGTATCAGGAATTATAAGTAATCAAGAGATGATTTCATGTATACAGGAGGATGTGCATATGTTATTTGCAAGCGCTGTGCCATTTCATATAAGAGGCTTGAGCATCTACAGATTTTGGTATCTGAGTGGAGATCTCGAAACCAATCACCCACGAATAGTGAAGGATGACCGTATATGACTTTTATTTCTCAAATTTAAATATAAATCAAAAAATGTACAACTAGATAAAAACTAAGAAGTGTTTTTATAGTGTGAGTTAGATTTATTTTTTACTAGGTGTAACCCATTGGTTTAATATTATTTATTGAGAAGACATTCTATGCCACCTTAAACCACACGGCAGCCTTTGTCAACTCTAAAGGGACTGTGTGTACATGGATGTATTTTAGACAGTTTCTGCTAAGGGGCTGTCTGTGTCCACACACTTGATGATGCTACACTTTATGTAGCCTTATAGAACCCTTTAAATTTAGTAGCCAGAGCCCTCTAATTTGTTATTATAGGCTATTTGCTTTTTTTTTTCTTGAGGCGGAGTCTTGCTCTGTCGCCCAGGCTGGACTGCAGTGACACAATCTCAGCTCACTGCAACCTCCGCCTCCCAGGTTCAAGCGATTCTCGTGCCTCAGCCTCTTGAGTAGCTGGCGTTACAGGTGCCTGCCACCAGGCATGGCTAATTTTTGGATTTTTAGCAGAGACACGGTTTCACTATGTTGGCCAGGCTGCTCTCAATCCCCTCATCTCAGTTGATCCGCCCACCTCGGCTTCCCGACGTGCTGGGGAAACTTGATTTTCTATAGCATTATGTTACTGGATATTTCTGTAAAATTTAAAATGAGGGAGGCAGAGAGACAGAGAGAGATCAAACTCCAGAGTTGGGACTCTGGAATCTTGGGTCATGAGACAAATTTTAGATTAAACTACAAAACTCCAGAATTTACAGGTGTGGTTTTTGCTGATAAAGTACAATTCTAAGATTGTAAATAATTGCATAATCCTTCCCTGGGAATTTAAATCATTTTAACTGGTTCTGCTGTAATACTAGAAATACAAGCATGAAAAATTCTAATGGTTTATTAGTCACAATGACTCTGAAAACCTTAATAATACCTATTAAATATTTTGCATATTACACATGAAGAAGAGTTTGAATCTCAGATAAAAACAATAAAAATACATGAAAAGTCTTTCACGTTAGCACAGATTTTAGGCATCTCGTGTTCAGGAGGTTGGATCTGAGACGTGTTTTGAGTTGGTCATAGTGAAGGACGCTAGGTGTAAATTCTAGTGAGAACAATTTCCAGGAAGCCGTGTTCCGCTCTTGAGCGAGCACCCACTGGGCCTCATGCAAGGTAGAATGAGCCTGCGTACGTCACCCTCCCATGATGTGGTCAACATGTAAACTGCATGGGCAGGGCGCCAAATAACATCCTGTGCGCTGCTGAGCTGAGCTGGGGCACGGCCGCCTGTCTGCACCGGCAGCACCATGTCGCTCACGGTCGTCAGCATGGCGTGTGTTGGTGAGTCCTGGAAGGGAATAGAGGAAGGGAGTGTGGGGTTGGAGATCTGGGCCCAGAGGTGGAGATATAGGCCTGGAGGTGGAGTTGTGGGCCTGGAGTGGAGATCTGGGCCTGGAGTGGATATATGGGCCTAGAGATGGAGTGATGGGCCTAGAAGTGGAGATCTGGGCCTGGAGTGCCGATAGGAACCTGGAGGGGAGATAGGAGCCTGGAGTGGAGATATGGGCCTGGAGGTGGAGTTATAGGCCTATAGTAGAGATATGGGCCTGGAGTGGAGATTTGGGCCAGGAGTGGAGATATGGGCCTAGAGGTGGATATCTGGGCCTAGAGTGGAAATATGGGCCTAGGATGGAGATATGGGCCTGGTTGTGGAGATATGGGACTGGAGAGGAGATATGGGCCTAGAGTGGAGATATGGGCTTGGGGTGGAGATCTGGGCCTGGGGTGGAGATATGGGCCTGGAGGTGGAGTTACGGGCCTTCAGTAGAGATATGGGCCTGGGGTGGAGATATGGGCTTGGGGTGGAGATCTGGGCCTGGAGTGGAGATATGGGCCTGGAGGTGGAGTTACTGGCCTTCAGTAGAGATATGGGCCTGGTGTGGAGATATGGGCCTGGATTGGAGATATGGGCCTAGGGTTGGAGATCTGAGCCTGGAGTGGAGATATGGGCCTGGATTGGAGATATGGGCTTACAGTGGAGATCTTGGCCTGGATTGGCGATATGGGCCTGGATTGGCGATATGGGCCTATGATGGAAATATCGGCCTGGAGTGGAGATATGGGCCTGGAGTGGAGATACAGGCCTAGGGTGGAAATATTGGCCTGGAGTGGAGATATGGGCTTGTGGTGGGGATATGGGCTTGTGGTGGGGATCTGGGCTTGGAGGCTGGGTCTCTGCACAGCCGACAGCCCTGTTCTTGGGTGCAGGTAGGCACTGAGGGTGAGTTTAACTTCAGTCCAGGAAGGGCCTGCCTACCAAGACTCACAGCCCAGTGAGGGCAGCAAGGGAGGCCTGGTTTGCCTGCAGATGGATCGGTCCATCATGATCTTTCTTTCCAGGGTTCTTCTTGCTGCAGGGGGCCTGGCCACATGAGGGTGAGTCCTTCTCCAAACCTTAGGGTGTCATCTCCCCACATAAGAGGATTTTCCTGAAACAGGAGGGAAGTCCTGTCAGGGAGCCTCTCATAAACTAGGAAGAGGGGACCCTGGGGTGCTCGGCCCACAGTTCCGACCTCGCCTCCCTGGCCTTTCATTCCCTTGGCAGAGTCAAGTTCTGTGGGGACCAGGGTTAGACTGGGGTGCTCAAAGCTGGGGTGCGTGGTGGGGAAGTGGTAGGAACAGCAGATCCTCTGAGGACAAAGGTGTTACTCACACTTCAGCGTTTCCATGACGGTAGGGGCTGCAGTGTGGCTGCTGTCACTCCACCAGAAGAGGTGGGAAACCACAGCCATGGCCCTGACATTCCAAATCCTCTGATGGGGGCTCAGTTGCTTATTTTCATTCAGGCATCTGCTGATATTCCATTCTCAAAGACATGCCCTCCACCCCATGTCTACCCTGTGTTGTTTTATGTGAGTAATCTTACAGTATTAAAATCTAGTAGGAGTCTCTTACTCAGCACTTGCTCAAAGTTCTCAGCTGACACTTTTGTTGTAGGG
Source organism: Homo sapiens (assembly GCF_000001405.40). Classification (NCBI taxonomy): domain Eukaryota; kingdom Metazoa; phylum Chordata; class Mammalia; order Primates; family Hominidae; genus Homo; species Homo sapiens. The sequence goes on from NW_016107304.1 coordinate 58,323, forward strand.
AGACACCTTGTGTTTGCGGGATGGGTCCTTCCTTTAGCCCTGGGCACCAAGGTGTGATAGCAGCCATAGAAACTTGGAAAGCGAGGAGAATCTTCAGAGCACAGGGAGGGAGGGGTGGCTCCACATCCTCCTCTCTAAGGCGGTGCCTCCTTCTCCCCAAGGTGGTCAGGACAAGCCCTTGCTGTCTGCCTGGCCCAGCTCTGTGGTGCCTCCAGGACATGTGATTCTTCGGTGTCATTCTTATCTTGGGTTTAACAACTTCAGTCTGTAAAAGGAAGATGGGGTGCCTGGCACTGAGCTCTACAACAGAATATTCTGGAAGAGCCTTTTCATGGGCCCTGTGACCCCAGCACACACAGGGACGTACAGATGTCGGGGTTCACACCCACACTACCCCAGTGGGTGGTCGGCACCCAGCAACACCCTGGTGATCATGGCCACAGGTCAGAGGGCTCCTGTCTTGGATTCTCCTTTCCCACCTCCTGAATCCCAGAGCTTCTGGTGGGCGTGTCCTTGAGGGTCCCATCACCCAGGCCCTGACTATATTTGGGGTAAAGGGGGATTGAATACAGGGAAATGGGTGCTGTGGTGGGAAGAATAATTGTCCCCAGTGATGACTACATTCTAATCCCTGGAGTCTGTGACTATTTATGTTATAGGGGAAGGAACTGAAGGGGAAGATGGAGCTCAGGTTGTTGATGAGTTGACCTTGAGATGGGGAGACAGCCTGGACTGTCCCGCTGGGCTCAGTGTAATCACAAGGGTCCACATGAAAGGAGGAGGAAGAGGGGAGTGGGGATTAGAGCAGCGCAATGGGAGACTCCACCAGCTTTGAAGGTGGAGGAAGGCCAGGAGCCATGAATGCAGGTGGCCTGTAGAGGTTGGAAAAGTCAAGGAAATGATTCTCCAGAGTCTCCAGAGGGAACGAAGCCCTGCAGATGCCTTGATTTTAGCCCAGGAAAAACAGGGTCCTATTTCTGTCTCCAGTAGTGAAATGGGTCAGTGTGCTCTCTCCTGCTGCCATGCTTCTGATAATTTTCTACAGCAGCAACAGGAAACCAACACTGGAACCCAGGTCAAGGACAAGGTAAGAAACAACACAAGGATAGCCGGGTGTGGTGGCAGGCGCATGTAATCCTAGCGACTTGGGAGGCTGAGGGCAGGAGAATCACTTGAACCCAGGAGACAGAGGTTGCAGTGACCCTAGACCACACCACTTCACTCCAGCTGGGGTGAAGGAGTGAGACTCTGTCTCCATAATTAATTAATTAATTAAAGGAACCAAACAAGGGGAAGGTTGGCTACACCGAGATGAGCAAGTGTGGGATGATGATGCCACCACCAGGCTCCATCCACATAGGGAGGGGTTGATACTCCTCAAACCAGCACCAGGAGCCAGCCTATGGAAGCTGGCACCATGGAGAAGGCACAGGCATGGCAAGAGTGGCTCCCAGTCCCGACCAGGAACAGGGTGTGTGGACACTGGTGCCTGCCTTATTCATCAGTTCATACCTACTGCCAAGGATTCCAATTCATCCAAAAGAGATTGAACCAGGCTGATAAGAGGCTGGATGTGCAGCCTATCCTGGTTCCTCTTTCACCCCCACATAAACAGCAGGAAAGACATTAGTGTGAAATAGATACAACACCCCAAGAGATGAGGCTAAGCCCAGTGGGAAGGGAATCAGAGGCGACTAGAGACAGAGGGACAGAGAAGAGGGAGGGAGACAGATGGAAGGACCTGCACCAGGAGTTATGGGCCCAGAAAAGAACATGAAGACACAGAGAGGAAGGAGAGAGACAGACACCAGCAAGGGGAAGCCTCACTCATTCTAGGTGCCATGGATGGGATGATAAAGAGAGACACCTTCTAAACTCACAACCTCTCTTCCTAGGAGTCCACAGAAAACCTTCCCTCCTGGCCCACCCAGGTCCCCTGGTGAAATCAGAAGAGACAGTCATCCTGCAATGTTGGTCAGATGTCAGGTTTCAGCACTTCCTTCTGCACAGAGAAGGGAAGTTTAACGACACTTTGCACCTCACTGGAGAGCACCATGATGGGGTTTCCAAGGCCAACTTCTCCATCGGTCCCATGATGGAAGACCTGGCAGGGACCTACAGATGCTACGGTTCTGTTACTCACTCCCCCATCAGTTGTCAGCTCCCAGTGACCCTCTGGACATCGTCATCACAGGTGAGAGTGTCCGGACATTCTTCTCATTGTCATTGGGATGCAGAGTGAATGATCCACGACTTGGAACCCCCAGGTAGTTGTAAGGAAGATGAGCTTGGTATTCTTATGGAGAGAGACTGACTTGGTGAGGTCTGTACCAACAGAGACAGAGAAACAGGAGACACAAGTACAGACCAGGTGTCATAACAGAGGACAGACACAGGGGCCATACCGGGAGTTAGAAAAGACAGAAGGAGTTAAAGGAGACAGACAGACAGACATGTCCCAGAGAGAGGTGTCCCTCCATGCTGACTTTGCTCAGAGACCTGGCACAGGTTAGAAGTTTCATTTCTGTTTTACCTCCACAAAGTGTTCTCTACCAGGAGAACCCAAGGACACCCATATTTATGACCTGAGTTGGGCCCTGTGGCCTCAGGCCTTGTGGCACCTACAGATGCCGTGTTTATTCTGACACCTCTGCCTTCCATGTAATGGAGAGTAACCGTCCCAGGATATCATGGCCCCAGAACACCAACTCCTGTATGCTGTGTGAACTTGTGGTCTCCAGACTGGATTCTGAGGCTCACATTCCAAATAACCCCACATATGAAAGGATCACTGAGAGGCACAGAGAGAAATCAGGGACACCAAAAAGCAAAGACATAAACACACAGAGAATGAGCCAGAGGAAGGAGATTGAGAGACTCACAGACACATAAAGAGAGAGAAAAGAGGGCAGAGGAGTGGTGAGAATGATGGAAGGGAGCAGAGAAAAGCACTAAAATTAGACTCCTGAGGGAGAGGCACAAGGACATAGAAAGATGGAGATGTGGGGATGAATTGCAGAGATTCCAAAGAGAACTAGAGAGACCGAGAGGCAGAGCAAGACAGATGATAGATGGATAGATATAGATAGATGATAAATAGGTAGATGATAGATAATAGGTTAAAGATACATAGATGATGATTGATTGATTCATTAATAGATGAGACATAGAGATGATGATGATGAAGACAGATAGATAATACATAGAGATAGAGAGGCAGACAGAAGTCATAGAGAGAGAGATGATACATAGATATAGATAACAGATGATTGATGGATAGATAGACAAGTGATAGATACATAGATGATATATAGATATAGATGACAGGTAGAGAATTTGTAGATAGGCACCGAATAGATAAATAGATAGATCGATAGATAATAGATAGAAATATGCAGAAAGTTATGAACAGGACACAAAGTGAGAAACTTAGAATTTAAAAAAGTAACATCAAGTCAACCAATCCAAGGAGAGTCAGAGAGAATAAAACAATCCAAAAAGGGAAAACATATCTAGAGGTGTGGAAGCGAGGTCAGAGACCTAGAGAGACAGAGAAGGTGGAAGGAGGAAATAGACATGAAGAGAGATGGGGTGGAGGGTGAGAGAGAGAGAGAGAGAGAGCATTAGGTCATAGAGCAGGGGAGTGAGTTCTCAGCTCAGGTGAAGGGAGCTGTGACAAGGAAGATCCTCCGTAAGGAAAATGCCTCTTCTCCTTCCAGGTCTATATGAGAAACCTTCTCTCTCAGCCCAGCCGGGCCCCACGGTTCTGGCAGGAGAGAGCGTGACCTTGTCCTGCAGCTCCCGGAGCTCCTATGACATGTACCATCTATCCAGGGAGGGGGAGGCCCATGAACGTAGGTTCTCTGCAGGGCCCAAGGTCAACGGAACATTCCAGGCTGACTTTCCTCTGGGCCCTGCCACCCACGGAGGAACCTACAGATGCTTCGGCTCTTTCCGTGACTCTCCCTACGAGTGGTCAAACTCGAGTGACCCACTGCTTGTTTCTGTCACAGGTGAGGAAAGCCCATGGCTGTCCCATGTCCTATGATCCTAGAGCCTTAGCTGAGGAGCTTCCTGCTGAGGATGGAGAGAAGGATGAACAGATGCAGAGAGAAGACGAAGCTTGGGTGTGAGGGAGGGATCAGGGCACAGGATGGCAGACAGGGCACCTCCAAACCCTCCTACATGGCCTGCATGAAGGCCTGCGGCCAGGACTCCAGGCACCCAGGCAGATGGAGAAAGCGGTCAGGAGAGACCCAGAGGAGGGAGACTGGGCTCAGTTTGGGAAGATCAGAGGTTCCCTCAGCCCCTCAACATTACCCATTTCCCAGAAGCCCATCCTGGCCTCCCACCCACACAGGGATGTCATCACCTGCAACCCCTACACCCTTTACTTTTGTTTGAGAAATATTTATTGAGGATAAATATACCTATATAGCTTACCACCTTTAACATTTTTTTTTTGAGGCGGAGTCTAGCTCTGTCCCCTATGCTGGAGTGCATTGGCACAATCTCAGCTCACTGCAACTTCCGCCTCCTGGGTTCAAGCGATTCTCTTGCCTCAGCCACCTGAGTAGCTGGTGCTACAGGCGCGCACCACCATGCCAGGCTACTTTTTGTATTTTTAGTAGAGAGGGGGTTTCACCATGTTGGTCAAGCTGGTCTCGAACTCCTGACCACGTGATCCACCCGCATCAGCCTCCCAAAGTGCTGGGATTACAGGCATGAGCCACCACGCCCAGCCACATTTACCATTTTTAAGTGTAAAGTCTAGTGGTCATAAATACATTAATATATATATATATACACATATTTTTTTTTACCCTCCACCCTTTTCTTCCTGGCCTCTGGTAGCCACCATTCTACTCTCTACCTTCATGAGATCCACCTTTTAGCTCCTGTATATGGGTAAGAAATGGGAATCTTTGTAATGACCTCCAGTTCCATCCATGTGGCTGCAAATATCAGGATGTTTTTCTTTCTATGGAAGAGTAGTCTCCACTATGCAAATGTACCACATTCTCTCTATCCATTCACCCACTGATGGGCAGGTAGGTTGACTCCTCATCTTGGCTACTGTGAAGAGTGCTGCACCAATCATACGAGTGCAGATATCACTTCGATATATTGATTTACTTTCCTTTGGATATAAACCCAGTAGTGAAATTGCTGGATACTATGAAAGTTCTCTTTTTAGTTTTTCGTTTGTTGTTTTGTTTTTGTTTTTGAGACAGTTTCCCTCTGTGCCCAGGCTGGAGTACAAGTGATGTCATCTTGGCTCATTGCAACCTCTGCCTCCTGGGTTCAAATGATTTTCCTGCCTCAGCCTCCCTAGTATCAGGGATTATAGGCGCACGCCACCATGCCTGGCTACTTTTTGTTTTTTTTAGTATAGATGCGGTTTCCCCATGTTGGCTGGGCTGCTCTCAAACTCATGACCTCAACTGAGGTGCCCGCCTCGGTCTCCCAAAGTGCCGGGATTACAGGCATGATCCACCTCACCCAACCTCTTTTTAGTTCTTTAAAGGACTTCCACACTTTTCTCCGTAATGGCTGTACTAATTTACACTCCTACCAACAGGATACCAGGATTCTCCTTTCTCTAACACCTTGCCAGCATTTCTTTTGCCTGTCTTGCAGCTAAAAGCCATTTTATTTTATTTCATTTTATTTTGAGATGGAGTTTCGCTCTTGTCACCCAGGCTGAGTGCAGTGGTGCGATCTCGGCTCACCACAACCTCCACCTCCCAGGTTCAAGCGATTCTCCTGCCTCAGCCTCCCGAGTAGCTGGAATTACAGGCACACGCCACCACGCCCGACTAATTTTTGTATTTTTAGTAGAGACAGTGTTTCTCCATGTGGGTCAGACTGGTCTCAAACTCCCGACCTTATGAGATTCACCCACCTCAGGCTCTCAAAGTTCTAGGATGACAGACGTGAGCCACCACGCCCGGCCTAAAAGCCATTTTAATGGGGTGAGATGAAAACTCACTTTGATTTTAATTTGTGTTTCTCTGATGATGAGTGATACTGAGCACTTTTTCGTATGTGGGGAAATTTCATGTCTTTTGCTCCTGTTTCAATTAAATCATTTGTTTTATTGAGTTGTTTGAGCTTCTTATATTTCTAGTTATTAATCCCATCTCAGATGCATAGTTTGCACATATTTGCTCCCAATCTGTGGGTTGTCTCTTCACTTTGTTGGTTTATTTTTAGCGGTGCAGAAGTTGCTTAGTTTGAGGTAATCCCAATGGTCTATTTTTGCTTCGATTACTTGTGTTTTGAAGGTTTAAAACAAAATGTCTTCCTTCAGACAAACGTCCTGGAGCATTTCCCCAATATTTTCTTCTACGTGTTTCATAGGTTCAGGCCTTAGACTCACATCTTTAATCCATTTTCATTTGATTTTTGTGTATAGTGACAGGCAGAGGTGCAGTTTCATTCCTCTGCATGTCGATGTCCAGGTTTCCCTGCACTGTTTATTGAAAAGACTGTCCTTTCCTGATTGTGAGTTCTTGGCACCTTTGTCAAAGTCCATTGGATGGGCTGGGCATGGTGGCTGACACCTGCAATTTCAGCACTTTGGGAGCCCGAGGTGGGTGGATCACCTGAGGCCAAGAGTTCAAGATTAGTCTGGCCAACGTGATGAAACATCGTCTCCACTAAAAATATAAAAATTAGCTGAGCATGGTGGTCAGCACCTGTAATACCACTACTCAGGAGTTTGAGGCAAGAGAAGTGATTGAACCCAGGAGGCTGTGGTGGCAGTGAACCGAGATTGCACCTCTGCACTCCAGCCTGGGTGACAGAGCAAGACTCCATCTCAAAAGAAAAACAAAAAATACATTGGAGGTAAATGCATGGATTATATCTGTGTTATTCATTCTGCTCCGTTGTTCTATGTGCCTTTCTTCATGCCAACGTCATGCTGTCTTGCTTACTACAGCTCTGTAACATATTTTGAGATCAGGTAGTGTGATGCTCCTGTTTTCTCTTTATACCTTGAAGTCTCAAGACAGTAGCCGTCACATACAAAAATTACGGAAAAAAGGATCCCAGGACTCCCAGGGCCCAATATTAGATAACAGAGTGTTGGCCATGAACCAACCTCAAAGATTTCCACTGAGTAGAGGACAGACACCCTCATTTCCTCACCTCTCTCCTGTCTCATGTTCTAGGAAACCCTTCAAATAGTTGGCCTTCACCCACTGAACCAAGCTCCAAAACCGGTGAGTACAGAACCCTCTTATATCCGCTTTTGGAAACCTGGGGAGGTGGAAACCTTGGATTCAGGCGTTGACTCAGCATCTCACAGCTCTGACATTGTACGCCTGTCTTCTACCATCTCCAAACTCCAGATACTCCAACAGCGAAAGGGATCTGGACCCAAAACAGGGCTCTGTGAAATCTCTTAATCTCTCATTTTATGGAGCTGAGATCTCCTACAAGCTAGAAAAATGATTGGCAATCTGACATCCTTCTCAGGAAAAATGCAATGTTTGTTCTGCCTGCATTCCTAACTGGAGGATAAATTCCTGGGGGCTTGAGAGAGGGAAGGGTAGGGAACATTTGATGAGGGCGAGGTGTTTTAGAGAAGTTCCACTTGCCCAGGAATGAATTACTGTTGGTCATGAAGCAACCCTGGCTGACTCAGCAGAGCAAGAGCTTTGCCTTAACAGAGAACGGAGCTCATGCACGCACACTTCGACTCACTGACTCATTCAGCCACGGCCCCATGCTCAGGCCGTGGAAAAGGCAATTCCCAGCACTGCAGGAGGCCAAGGCGGGTGGATCACTTGAAGTCAGGAGTTCCAGACCAGCCTGGCCAAAATGGTGAAACCCTGTCTCTATGAAAAATACAAAAATTAGCCGAGCATGGTGGTGCATCCCTGTAATCCCAGCTCCTACTCTTGAGGATGAAGCAGGAGAACGACTTCAACCCAGGAGGTGGAGGTTGCAGTGAGTGGAGATTGCATCACTGCACTCCAGCCTGGGTGACACAAGGAGACTCCGTCTCAAAAAATAAAAATAAGAAATGCATAAATATAATAAAACACACACGAATGACAAAGGCACCTGAATTCCAATCATCATTTTTGTATTTCTCTATAATTACTTCTTTGATCCTTTGTCTTATCCATTAGGCAATGAGCCTAAAACCTCTTCCGTATTTGGCTTTCTGTGAGCATGAGACCATATAGAAAATGTGAAAGCCCGCTGAATCCTCCAGCACAGATCGTGGAATAGAGAAAGTGCTCTGTTCATCACAAAAAAAACTTGCCCTCTCACTCAAATCCCCCACTTCACCCCTACTTCCAATCACCTGTGGAGATTCAGATAGACCATGGGGAGGTAAACATTAATACTCCTTGGAGTGAGTCCAGATCTTGGAATGAGAGATCAGCACCAGCACTAGCTCCTGCTCCCCTTTCCTACTAATTCACAGGAGGACAGGTGGTATTGAAGCAATAGATGGTGGAGGGGGTGGTCCTTCCCCCAGCCTCTCAGGTAGAACAGCAGCCTAACATGTGTCTCCCGAGATCACAAAGAGTAGGACGTTTCACAGGGGCTTCAACACGATTTCCTGGCTGTTGGACATAAGATAACTCTATTTCGCTTTTTTATCTTGATTTCACTTTTGTTTCCTTTCCTTGGAGAACGCAAGTTGTTTGACTCAAGAATGCTGTGGATGTAGAAATCCTAAAGCACATTCGCTGTGTGTCAATCCCAGTGCAGTCTTCCCAGAAAAGACCCTAAACACCTCCTAGACTGCACCTGGGCCTACGCCAATTCCTATCACTCACCGTCACTCCAGGGAGACAGAACACACAGAGAATACGTTACATAGGCAGGTTCATTACTAACAGATAAGCAGCGAGTGAAAACAGAAGCCTACATTTCAATGTGAGCCAGTCCCTCAAGGCTCAGAAAAGCTGCTCGGGACATATGGAGTCACCCCATTTGCAGTGTAGCTGGGGGAAGCCAGAAAGCAGCCCAGCCTGGGTTTTGTACCCTGGAGCCACAGGAAGCACTCAGCTAAAGCACTGCATGACGTCCTCCTCCAGGAAGAACAGGAAGACAGCCCAGGCTGCTCTGGGACGTTCCTCCTGATCTCAGGACGTTGCTGTCTTAGTCCATTTTTGTTGCTCTAAAGGAACACTTGAGCCTGGGCAACTTCTAAAGAAAAGAGATTGGTTTGCCTCACCGTTCTGCAGGCTGTACTGGAAGCATGGCACCAGCATCTATTTCTCGTGATGGCCTCAGGCTGCTCCCACTCTGGCAGAAGGGAAGGAGGGTCTGTCTGTGCAGAGACCACAGAGATCACACGGCAAGAGAGGGAGCAAGGGGGAGGGGGAGCGATGGAGCTTCCAAGTTCTTTTGAACAACCAGCTCTCCAGGAACTAATAGAGGGGGAACTAGCTAACCCCGTCTCCTTGGGACAGCATTGATCTGTTCATGATGGATCCACCTCCATGACCCAAACACCTCTCAAGAGGCCCAACCTCCCACAATGGGGGTGAAATTTCAATGTGAGGTTTGAAGGGGTCAAACATCTCAACTAAAGTAGTTGTGTCCTCAGCACATTCTATGGTTACTTTGAGAGCTATAACTGAGAAAGCAGGAGAAAGCTGGGTCTCCCGCCATCTGGGTGCTTGTCCTAAAGAGGTGTTTTACGTGGTTACCTGTCAATCAAGAAATGCGAGACAATTCATAAAGAGGAACTGCTATGATTAGCTTCTTATTGGTGTCTCATCTTCTTCCAGGTAACCCAAGACACCTGCACGTTCTGATTGGGACCTCAGTGGTCATCATCCTCTTCATCCTCCTCCTCTTCTTTCTCCTTCATCGCTGGTGCTCCAACAAGAAAAGTAAGTCTCACGAAGGAGAGGCCAGAGAGCTCAGGGCCATGTGGGGAAGCAGGATGGGAGCACTCAGGTGTGTGTTCCTCACAGGTAGGATGGTCCCTGGCCCAAGGCAGCAGCCACAGAGGCAGGACTTTCTAGAGAGGGCACCAGACTCCCTGTCCCTGCTTTCAGCTCACAGACCGTTGCCTGATTCTGAACTGTATCCTCATGTCCCCTGCAGCCACTCACATCCAGGAGAAGGTTCCATGACAGGCAGAAAGTGGGAGACAGAATCAATGGGATGGGAACTCAGAGCTATTCATGGGATGGGTCCTTGAGCTCAGAGAGATAGAATGTCTGAGTCTGCTGTTGGCAACTGAGGGACCTCAGGCACCTATGGCCTCCCCCTGTTTGTTGGTATCTGCTTATGAAATGAGGACCCAGAAGTGCCCTCCGAGCTCTTTTGTTGACTTCCGTCTCCTACACATGCTGCTGTAATGGACCAAGAGCCTGCAGGGAACAGAACAGCGAATAGCGAGGTAGGTGCTCCTCGGCCCAGCCTCGTGGCTAGTGTTATTCCCAAACAGTCCTGGAAAACGTGAGCACCCTCCCTCACTCAGGATTTCCCTCTCTCCAGGACTCTGATGAACAAGACCCTCAGGAGGTGACATACGTACAGTTGGATCACTGCGTTTTCACACAGAGAAAAATCACTCGCCCTTCTCAGAGGCCCAAGACACCCCCAACAGATACCAGAGTGTACACGGAACTTCCAAATGCTGAGTCCAGATCCAAAGTTGTCTCCTGCCCATGAGCACCACAGTCAGGCCTTGAGGGGATCTTCTAGGGAGACAACAGCCCTGTCTCAAAACCGGGTTGCCAGCTCCCATGTACCAGCAGCTGGAATCTGAAGGCGTGAGTCTGCATCTTAGGGCATCGCTCTTCCTCACACCACAAATCTGAATGTGCCTCTCTCTTGCTTACAAATGTCTAAGGTCCCCACTGCCTGCTGGAGAGAAAACACACTCCTTTGCTTAGCCCACAATTCTCCATTTCACTTGACCCCTGCCCACCTCTCCAACCTTACTGGCTTACTTCCTAGTCTACTTGAGGCTGCAATCACACTGAGGAACTCACAGTTCCAAACATACAAGAGGCTCCCTCTTAACACGGCACTTAGACACGTCCTGTTCCACCTTCCCTCATGCTGTTCCACCTCCCCTCAGAGTATCTTTCAGCCTTCTGTCAGCAGTAAAACTTATATATTTTTTAAAATAATTTCAATGTAGTTTTCCCTCCTTCAAATAAACATGTCTGCCCTCATGGTTTCGGTAATGGGACTCTTTTCTTGCCTAAGACTTCCATTATCATTACCATGTCCACATAACCCCATCTGTTCTCCACTGGGTTCTCACCCCCGGACTCTGAGTTTCTGGAAGCAGGGTGGAGCCTCATTTGTCTCTGGGACTCCTATTTCCATCCAAAGATGTAGCACATAGGAGGTTCCAAGGATCGTGAATCACATGAACAAGTGATATTCTTACTCTCTGCAGACCTGGAAATCTGGCAGAGTCATTCCAAGATGAAACATTTGTAGAATCATAGGCCTTGTTAGTCTCATCTACACAGGGACACATATCAACACATCATCTTTCACACTATAAATATACAGTCACTCCTCCATATCTGTGGGGTTTACAGTTCTTTATTGAACCGAGTATAAATCAAAAATATTCAGAGAAAGTATCCACAGAGTTACAAAAAGCAGAACTGTGTTGAATGGACACAAATGAAGCTGTGTGTAGGCTGCATCAGGAATTATAAGTAATCTAGAGATGATTTCATGTATACAGGAGGATGTGCATAGGTTATTTGCAAACTCTGTGCCATTTCATATAAGAGGCTTGAGCATCTACAGATTTTGGTATCTGAGTGGAGATCTCGAAACCAATCACCCACGAATAGTGAAGGATGACCGTATATGACTTTTATTTCTCAAATTTAAATATAAATCATAAAAAATGTACAACTAGATAAAAACTAAGAAGTGTTTTTATAGTGTGAGTTAGATTTATTTTTTCCTAGGTATAACCCATTGGTTTAATATTATTTATTGAGAAGACATTCTATGCCACCTTAAACCACACGGCAGCCTTTGTCAACTCTAAAGGGACTGTGTGTACACGGATGTACTTTAGACACTGTTTCTGCTAAGGGGCTCTCTGTGTCCACACTCTTGATGATGCTGCACTTTATGTAGCCTTATAGAACCCTTTAAATTTAGTAGCCAGAGCTCTCTAATTTGTTATTATAGGCTATTTGCTTTTTTTTCTTGAGGCGGAGTCTTGCTCTGTCGCCCAGGCTGGACTGCAGTGACACAATCTCAGCTCACTGCAACTTCTGCCTCCCAGGTTCAAGCGATTCTCATGCCTCAGCCTCTTGAGTAGCTGGCGTTACAGGTGCCTGCCACCAGGCACGGCTAATTTTTGGATTTTTAGCAGAGACACGGTTTCACTATATTGGCCAGGCTGCTCTCAAACTCCTTATCTCAGTTGATCCGCCCACCTCGGCTTCCCAACGTGCTGGGGAAACTTGATTTTCTATAGCATTATGTTACTGGATATTTCTGTAAAATTTAAAATGAGGGAGGGAGAGAGACAGACGGAAAACAAACTCCAGAGTTGGGACTCTGGAATCTTGGGTCATGAGACAAATTTTAGATTAAACTACAAAACTCCAGAATTTACAGGTGGGGTTTTTACTGATAAAGTACAATTCTAAGATTGTAAATAATTGCATAATCCTTCCCTGGGAATTTAAATCATTTTAACTGGTTCTGCTGTAATACTAGAAATACAAGCATGAAAAATTCTAATGGTTTATTAGTGACAATGACTCTGAAAACATTAATAATACCTATTAGATATTTTGCATATTACACAGGAAGAAGAGTTTGAATCTCAGATAAAAACAATAGAAATACATGAAAAGTCTTTCATGTTAGCACAGATTTTAGGCATCCTGTGTTCCGGAGGTTGGATCTGAGACGTGTTTTGAGTTGGTCATAGTGAAGGACACTAGGTGTCAAATTCTAGCGAGAACAATTTCCAGGAAGCCGTGTTCCGCTCTTGAGCGAGCACCCACTGGGCCTCATGCAAGGTAGAAAGAGCCTGCGTACGTCACCCTCCCATGATGTGGTCAACATGTAAACTGCATGGGCAGGGCGCCAAATAACATCCTGTGCGCTGCTGAGCTGAGCTCGGTCGCGGCTGCCTGTCTGCTCCGGCAGCACCATGTCGCTCTTGGTCGTCAGCATGGCGTGTGTTGGTGAGTCCTGGAAAGCAATAGAGGGAGGGAGTGAGGGGATGGAGATCTGGGCCCAGAGGTGGAGATATAGGCCTGGAGGTGGAGTTATGGGCCTGGAGTGGAGATCTGGGCCTGGAGTGGATATATGGGCCTAGAGATGGAGTGATGGGCCTAGAAGTGGAGATCTGGGCCCAGAGGTCGAGATATAGGCCTGGAGGTGGAGTGATGGGACTGTAGTGGAGATCTGGGCCTGGAGTGGAGATAGGAACCTGGAGGGGAGATAGGAACCTGGAGGGGAGATATGGGCCTGGAGGTGGAGATATGGGCCTGGAGTGGAGTCATGGGCCTGGAGGTGGAGTTATGGGCCTGCAGTAGAGATATGGGCCTGAAGTGGAGACATGGGCCTGGAGTGGAGATATGGGCCAGGAGTGGAGATATGGGCCTAGAGGTCGATATCTGGGCCTGGAGTGGAGATATGGGCCAGGAGTGGAGATATGGGCCTAGAGGTCGATATCTGGGCCTGGAGAGGAGATATGTGCCTAGGATGGAGATACGGGCCTGGGTGTGGAGATATGGGACTGGAGAGGATATATGGGCCTGGAGTGGAGATATGGGACTGGAGAGGAGATATGGACCTGGAGTGGAGATAAGGGCCTGGATTGGAGATATGGGCCCAGGGTGGAGATCTGAGCCTGGATTGGAGATATGGGCCTGGATTGGCGATATGGGCTTAGGGTGGAAATATCGGCCTGGAGTGGAGATATGGGCCTGGAGTGGAGATATGGGCTTGAGGTGGGGATATGGACCTGGAGGCTGGGTCTCTGCACAGCCGACAGCCCTGTTCTTGGGTGCAGGTAGGCACTGAGGGTGAGTTTACCTTCAGCCCAGGAAGGGCCTGGCTACCAAGACTCACAGCCCAGTGGGGGCAGCAAGGGTGCCCTGGTTTGCCTGCAGATGGGTCATCCATCATGATCTTTCTTTCCAGGGTTCTTCTTGCTGCAGGGGGCCTGGCCACATGAGGGTGAGTCCTTCTCCCAACCTTCGGGTGTCATCTCCCCACATAAGAGGATTTTCCTGAAATGGGAGGGAAGTCCTGTCAGGGAGTCTCTCATAAACTAGGAAGAAGGGACCCTGGGGTGCTGGGCCCACATTTCTGACCTTGCCTCCCTGGCCTTTCATTCCCTTGGCAGAGTCAAGTTCTGTGGGGACCAGGGTTAGACTACGGTGCTCAAAGCTGGGGTGTGTGGTGGGGAAGTGGTAGGAACAGCAGATCCTCTGAGGACAAAGGTGTTACTCACACACTTCAGCGTTTCCATGACGGTAGGGGCTGCAGTGTGGCTGCTGTCATTCTACCAGAAGAGGTGGGAAAACCACAGCCATGGCCCTGACATTCCAATCCTCTGATGGGGACTCAGTTGTTTATTTTCGTTCAGGCATCGGCTGATATTCCATTCTCAAAGGACATGCCCTCCACCCCATGTCTACCCTGTGTTGTTTTATGTGAGTAATCTTACAGTATTAAAATCTAGTAGGAGTCTCTTACTCAGCACTTGCTCAAAGTTCTCAGCTGACACTTTTGTTGTAGGGAGACACCTTGTGTTTGCGGGATGGGTCCTTCCTTTAGCCCTGGGCACCAAGGTGTGATAGCAGCCATAGAAACTTGGAAAGCGAGGAGAATCTTCAGAGCACAGGGAGGGAGGGGCGGCTCCACATCCTCCTCTCTAAGGCGGTGCCTCCTTCTCCCCACGGTGGTCAGGACAAGCCCTTGCTGTCTGCCTGGCCAAGCCCTGTGGTGCCTCCAGGACATGTGATTCTTCAGTGTCATTCTTATCTTGGGTTTAACAACTTCAGTCTGTAAAAGGAAGATGGGGTGCCTGTCCCTGAGCTCTACAACATAATATTCTGGAACAGCCTTTTCATGGGCCCTGTGACCCCAGCACACGCAGGGACCTATACATGTCGGGGTTCACAACCACACTACCCCAGTGGGTGGTCGGCACCCAGCAACCCCCTGGAGATCACGGTCACAGGTCAGAGGGCTCCTGTCTGGGATTCTCCTTGTCCCACCTCCTGAATCCCAGAGCTCCTGGTGGGCGTGTCCTTGCGGGTCCCATCATGCAAGTCCTGACTGTATTTGGGGTAAAGGGGGATTGAATACAGGGAAATGGGTGCTGTGGTGGGAAGAATAATTGTCCCCAGTGATGACTACATTCTAATCCCTGGAGTCTGTGACTATTTATGATATAGGGGAAGGGACTGAAGGAGAAGATGGAGCTCAGGTTGTTGATGAGTTGACCTTGAGATGGGGAGACAGCCTGGACTGTCCTGATGGGCTCAGTGTAGTCACAGGGGTCCACATGAAAGGAGGAGGAAGAGGGGAGTGGGGATTACAGCAGCATAATGGGAGTCTCCATCAGCTTTGAAGGTGGAGGAAGTCCAGGAGCCATGAATGCAGGTGGCCTATAGAGGCTGGAAAAGTCAAGGAACTGATTCTCCTGAGTCTCCAGAGGGAACGAAGCCCTGCAGGTGCCTTGATTTTACCCACGACAAACAGGGTCCGATTTCTGTCTCCAGAATTGGAAGGGGTTAGTGTGCTCTCTCCTGGTGCCATGCTTCTGATAATTTTCTACAGCAGCAACAGGAAACCAACACTGGAACCCAGGTCAAGGACAAGTTAAGAAACAACACAAGGATAGCCAGGCATGGTGGCAGGTGCATGTAATCCTAGCGACTTGGGAGGCTGAGGGCAGGAGAATCACTTGAACCCAGGAGACAGAGGTTGCAGTGAGCCTAGACCACACCACTTCACTCCAGCCTGGGCAAAGGAGTGAGACTCTGTCGCCAAAATTAATTAATTAATTAAAGAAACCAAACAAGGAGAAGGTTGGCTACACTGAGATCAGCAAGGCTCAGATGATGATGCCACCACCAGGCTCCATCCACATAGGGAGGGGTTGATACTCCTCCAACCAGCACCAGGAGCCAGCCTATGGAAGCTGGCACTGGCATGGCAAGAGTGGCTCCCAGTCCCTACCAGGAACAGGGTGTGTGGCCACTGGTGCCTGCCTTACTGATCAGTTCATACCTCCTGCCAAGGATTCCAATTCGTCCAAAAGAGATTGAACCAGGCTGCTAAGAGCCTGGATGTGCAGCCTATCCTGGTTCCTCTTCCACCCCCACATAGACAGCAGGAAAGACATTAGTTCGAAATAGATACAACAGCCCAAGAGATGAGGCTGAGCCCAGCGGCAAGGGAATCAGAGGCTACTAGAGACAGAGGGACAGAGAAGAGTGAGGGAGACAGATGGAAGGACCTGCACCAGGAGTTATGGGCACAGAAAAGAACATGAAGACACAGAGAGGAAGGAGAGAGATAAGACACCAGGAAGGGGAAGCCTGACTCAATCCAGGTGCCATGGATGGGATGATAAAGAGAGACACCTTCTAAACTCACAACCTCTCTTCCTAGGAGTCCACAGAAAACCTTCCCTCCTGGCCCACCCAGGTCGCCTGGTGAAATCAGAAGAGACAGTCATCCTGCAGTGTTGGTCAGATGTCATGTTTGAACACTTCCTTCTGCACAGAGAGGGGATGTTTAACGACACTTTGCGCCTCATTGGAGAACACCATGATGGGGTCTCCAAGGCCAACTTCTCCATCAGTCGCATGACGCAAGACCTGGCAGGGACCTACAGATGCTACGGTTCTGTTACTCACTCCCCCTATCAGGTGTCAGCTCCCAGTGACCCTCTGGACATCGTGATCATAGGTGAGAGTGTCCAGACTTTCTTCTCATTGTCATTGGGATGCAGAGTGAATGATCCAGGAATTGGAGACCCAGGTGGCTGTAAGGAAGATGAGCTTGGTATTCTTATGGAGAGAGACTGACTTGGTGAGGTCTGTGCCAACAGAGACAGAGAAACAGGAGACACAAGTAGAGACCAGGTGTCATAACAGAGAACAGACACAGGGGCCATACCGGGAGTTAGAAAAGACAGAAAGAGTTAAAGGAGACACACAGACAGACATGTCCCAGAGAGAGGTGTCCCTCCATGCTGACTTTGCTCAGAGACCTGGCACAGGTTAGAAGTTTCATTTCTGTTTTACCTCCACAAAGTGTTCTCTACCAGGAGAACCCAAGGACACCCATATTTCTGACCTGAGTTGGGCCCTGTGGCCTCAGGCCTTGTGGCACCTACAGATGCCATGTTTATTCTGACACCTCTGCCTTCCATGTAATGGAGAGTAATCGTCCCAGGATATCATGGCCCCACAACACCAACCCCTGTATGCTGTGTGAACTTGTAGTCTCCAGACTGGATTCTGAGGCTCATATTCCAAATAAGCCCACTTATGAGAGGATCAGTGAGAGGCACAGAGAGAAATCAGGGACACCAAAAAGCAAAGACATAAACACACAGAGAATGAGCCAGAGGAAGGAGATTGAGAGACTCACAGACACATAAAGAGAGAGAAAAGAGGGCAGAGGAGTGGTGAGAATGATGGAAGGGAGCAGAGAAAAGCACTAAAATTAGACTCCTGAGGGAGAGGCACAAGGACATTGAAAGATGGAGATGTGGGGATGAATTGCAGAGATTCCAAAGAGAACTAGAGAGACCGAGAGGCAGAGCAAGACAGATGATAGATGGATAGATATAGATAGATGATAAATAGGTAGATGATAGATAATAGGTTATAGATACATAGATGATGATTGATTGATTCATTAATAGATGAGACATAGAGATGATGATGATGAAGACAGATAGATAGATAATACATAGAGATACAGAGGCAGACATAGAGAAATCATAGAGAGAGAGAGATGATACATAGATATAGATAATAGATGATTGATGGATAGATAGACAATTGATGGATAAATAGATGATATATAGATATAGATGACAGGTAGAGAATTTGTAGATAGGCACCAAATAGATAAATAGATAGATCGATAGATAATAGATAGAAATATGCAGAAAGTTATGAACAGGACACAAAGTGAGAAACTCAGAATTAAAAAAAGTAACATCAAGTCAACCAATCCAAGGAGAGTCAGAGAGAATAAAACAATCCAAAAAGAGAAAACATATCTAGAGGTGGGGAAGTGAGGTCAGAGACCTAGAGAGACAGAGAAGGTGGAAGGAGGAAATAGACATGAAGAGCGATGGGGTAGAGGGTGAGAGAGAGAGAGAGAGAGCATTAGGTCATAGAACAGGGGAGTGAGTTCTCAGCTCAGGTGAAGGGAGCTGTGACAAAGAAGATCCTCCCTGAGGAAACTGCCTCTTCTCCTTCCAGGTCTATATGAGAAACCTTCTCTCTCAGCCCAGCTGGGCCCCACGGTTCTGGCAGGAGAGAATGTGACCTTGTCCTGCAGCTCCCGGAGCTCCTATGACATGTACCATCTATCCAGGGAAGGGGAGGCCCATGAACGTAGGCTCCCTGCAGGGCCCAAGGTCAACGGAACATTCCAGGCTGACTTTCCTCTGGGCCCTGCCACCCACGGAGGGACCTACAGATGCTTCGGCTCTTTCCATGACTCTCCATACGAGTGGTCAAAGTCAAGTGACCCACTGCTTGTTTCTGTCACAGGTGAGGAAAGCCCATGGCTGTCCCATGTCCTATGATCCTAGAGCCTTAGCTGAGGAGCTTCCTGCTGAGGATGGAGAGAAGCATGGACAGATGCAGAGAGAAGACGCAGCCTCGGTGTGAGGGAGGGATCAGGGCACAGGATGGCCGACAGGGCACCTCCAAACCCTCCTACATGGCCTGCATGGAGGCCCACGGCCAGGGCTCCAGGCACCCAGGCAGATGGAGAAAGCGGTCAGGAGAGACCCAGAGGAGGGAGACTGGGCTCAGTTTGGGGAGATCAGAGGTTCCCTCAGCCCCTCAACCTTACCCATTTCCCAGAAGCCCATCCTGGCCTCTCACCCACACAGAGATGTCATCACCAGCAACCCCTACACCCTTTACTTTTCTTTGAAGAAATATTTATTGAGGATAAATATACCTATATAGCTTACCACTTTTAACATTTTTTTTTGAGGTGGAGTCTAGCTCTGTCCCCTATGATGGAGTGCAGTGGCACAATCTCAGCTCACTGCAACCTCCGCCTCCTGGGTTCAAGCGATTCTCCTGCCTCAGCCACCTGAGTAGCTAGTGCTACAGGCACGCACCACCACGCCAGGCTACTTTTTGTATTTTTAGTAGAGAGGTGGTTTCACCATGTTGGTCGAGCTGGTCTCGAACTCCTGACCACGTGATCCACCCGCATCAGCCTCCCAAAGTGCTGGGATTACAGGCATGGGCCACCAGGCCCAGCCACATTTACCATTTTTAAGTGTAAAGTCTAGTGGTCATAAATACATTTTTATATATATATATATATACATTTTTTTTACCCTCCACCCTTTTCTTCCTGTCCTCCAGTAGCCACCATTCTACTCTCTACCTTCATGAGATCCACCTTTTAGCTCCTGTATATGGGTGAGAAATGGGAATCTTTTTAATGACCTCCAGTTCCATCCATGTGGCTGCAAATGACAGGATGTTATTCTTTCTATGGATGAGTAGTCTCCACTGTGCGTATGTACTACATTCTCTCTATCCATTCACCCACTGATGGGCAGGTAGGTTGACTCCTCATCTTGGCTACTGTGAACAGTGCTGCACCAATCATACGAGTGCAGATATCACTTCGATATGTTGATTTACTTTCCTTTGGATATAAACCCAGTAGTGAAATTGCTGGATACTATGAAAGTTCTCTTTTTTTTTTTTTTTTCTTTTTTGAGAAAGAGTTTCCCTCCTTAGCCCAAGCTGGAGTCAAAGTGGTGCAACCTTGGCTCATTGCAACCTCCGCCTCCTGGGTTCAAATGATTTTCCTGCCTCAGCCTCCCTAGTAGCTGGGATTACAGGTGCACACCACCATGCCTGGCTACTTTTTGGTTTTTTTAGTATAGATGCGGTTTCCCCATGTTGGCTGGGCTGCTCTCAAACTCATGACCTCAACTGAGGTGCCCGCCTCAGTCTCCCAAAGTGCCGGGATTACAGGCATGATCCACCTCACCCAACCTCTTTTTAGTTCTTTA
The DNA here is from genome assembly GCF_000001405.40 of Homo sapiens. Taxonomy (NCBI): domain Eukaryota; kingdom Metazoa; phylum Chordata; class Mammalia; order Primates; family Hominidae; genus Homo; species Homo sapiens. The sequence goes on from NW_016107304.1 coordinate 78,568, forward strand.
AAGGACTTCCATACTTTTCTCCGTAATGGCTGTACTAATTTACACTCCTCCCAACAGGGTACCAGGGTTCTCCTTTCTCTACCACCTTGCCAGCATTTCTTTTGCCTGTCTTGCAGCTAAAAGCCATTTTATTTTATTTCATTTTATTTTGAGATGGAGTTTTGCTCTTCTCACCCAGGCTGGAGTGCAGTGGCGCTATCTCGGCTCACCACAACCTCCACCTCCCAGGTTCAAGCGATTCTCCTGCCTCAGCCTCCCGAGTAGCTGGAATTACAGGCACACGCCACCACGCCCTACTAATTTTTGTATTTTTAGTAGAGACAGCGTTTCTCTATGTGGGTCAGACTGGTCTCAAACTCCCAACCTTATGAGATTCACCCACCTCAGGTTCTCAAAGTTCTAGGATGACACAAGTGAGCCACCTCACCCGGCCTAAAAGCCATTTTAATGGGGTGAGATGAAAACTCACTTTGATTTTAATTTGCGTTTCTCTGATGATGAGTGATACTGAGCACTTTTTCGTATGTGGGGAAATTTCATGTCTTTTGCTCCTTTTTCAATTAAATCATTTGTTTTATTGAGTTGTTTGAGCTTCTTATATTTCTAGTTATTAATCCCATCTCAGATGCATAGTTTGCACATATTTGCTCCCAATCTGTGGGTTGTCTCTTCACTTTGTTGGTTTATTTTTAGCAGTGCTGAAGTTGCTTAGTTTGAGGTAATCCCAATGGTCTATTTTTGCTTCGATTACTTGTGTTTTGAAGGTTTAAAACAAAATGTCTTCCTTCAGACAAACGTCCTGGAGCATTTCCCCAATATTTTGTTCTACGTGTTTCATAGGTTCAGGCCTTAGACTCACATCTTTAATCCATTTTCATTTGATTTTTGTGTATGGTGACAGGTAGAGTTGCAGTTTCATTCCTCTGCATGTAGATGTCCAGGTTTCCCTGCACTGTTTATTGAAAAGACTGTCCTTTCCTGATTGTGAGTTCTTGGCATCTTTGTCAAAGTCCATTGGATGGGCTGGGCTTGGTGGCTAACACCTGCAATTTCAGCACTTTGGGAGCCCGAGGTGGGTGGATCACCTGAGGCCAGGAGTTCAAGATTAGTCTGGCCAACGTGATGAAACATCGTCTCCACTAAAAATATAAAAATTAGCTGAGCATGGTGGTCAGCACCTGTAATACCACTACTCAGGAATTTGAGGCAAGAGAATGATTGAACCCAGGAGGCTGAGGTTGCAGTGAACCGAGATTGCACCTCTGCACTCCAGCCTGAGTGACAGAGCAAGACTCCATCTCAAAAGAAAAAATAAAAAACCATTGGATGTAAATGCATGGAATATATCTGTGTTATTCATTCTGCTCCGTTGTTCTATGTGCCTTTCTTTATGCCAATGTCATGCTATTTTGCTTACTACAGCTCTGTAACATATTTTGAGATCAGGTAGTGTGATGCTCCTGTTTTCTCTTTATATCTTGAAGTCTCAAGACAGTGGGTGTCATATAAAAAAATTATGGAAAAAAGGATCCCAGGACTCCCAGGGCTCAATATTAGATAAGAGAGTGTTGGCCATGAACCATCCTCAAAGATTTCCACTGAGTGGAGGACAGACACCCTCATTTCCTCACCTCTCTCCTGTCTCATGTTCTAGGAAACCCTTCAAATAGTTGGCCTTCACCCACTGAACCAAGCTCCAAAACCGGTGAGTACAGAACCCTCTTATATCCGCTTTTGGAACCCTGGGGAGGTGGGAACCTTGGATTCAGGCGTTGACTCAGCATCTCACAGCTCTGACATTGTACACTTGTCTTCCACCATCTCCGAACTCCAGATACTCCTACAGCGAAAGGGATCTGGGCCCAACACAGGGCTCAGTGAAATCTCTTCATCTCTCATTTTATGGAGCTGAGACCTCCTACAAGCTAGAAGAATGATTGCCAATCTGACATCCTTCTCAGGAAAAATGCAATGTTTGTTCTACCTGCATTCCTAACTGGAGGATAAATTCCTGGAGACTTGAGAGAGGGAAGGGAAGGGAACATCTGATGAGGGCAAGGTGTTTTAGAGAAGTTCCACTTGCCAAGGAATGAGCTCCTGTAGGTCATGAAGCAACCCTGGCTGACTCCGCAGAGAAAGAGCCTTGCCGTAACAGAGAACAGAGCTCATGCACGCACACTTCGACTCACTGACTCATTCAGCCACGGCCCCATGCTCAGGCTGTGCAGTGTGGAACCTTTTCCTATTGTTGCCATAACAAATTTCCACAAGATTCGTGGGTGAAAACAAAACGGTTTTTTAATTATCTTACAGTGCTGTAGCTCAAAGTAGGAAGTGCATCTTACTGGGCTAAAATCAAGGTGACAGCAAGGCTGCCTTCCCTCTGAGGATTCCAGGCACGAATCTGCTTCTCACTTGTCCCAGCTTCTAAAGGCTCCCAGTTCCTTGGCTCCTGGTCCCCTTCCTCCTTCCTCAAAGCCCACAAAGACTGGTCACATCTCACATGGCATCACTCAGTGCCTTCTTCCTTACCACACCTCTTTCTCTGAGTGCTGCTCTCCCTTCTTCCTCATCTTTTGAAAACTTGGGGATTCTATTGGGTTCACCAAGATGAAAATCCCTCATAATCTCCTGGAAATCATCCAGGATACCCTTGTTTTAAGTTCAGCTGATTAGCAACCATAATTCCATCTGCAATCTTCATTCCTCCTTTCCATGTAAAATAACATATTCACAAGCTATGGAGGCTAGGACAGGGACATTTTGGGGTGGGACAGCATTCTCCTGCCTTCCACAAACAGTGAACAAGATGCATTTGGCCTCTGCCCTTGGGACACTGATATTGCAGATGGTTAAATGGGAGGGCAGAAAATGAACGCACAAGTGGATCTATAAATGAATGGTCCATTGGGAAGCATCTGTGCATGAAATCTATTTTTTGTTTGTTCTTTTGTTTATTGAGACAGAGTCGCCCTCTGTCTTCCAGGCTACAGTGCAGTGTCACGATCTTGGCTCACTGCAACCTGCGTCTCCTGGATTCAAGTGATTCTCCTGCCTCCGCCTCTCGAGTAGCTGGGATTACAGGCAACTGCCACCGTGCCCGGCTAATTCTTTTTGTATATTTTTTGTAGAGAGGATGTTTCACCACGTTGGCCAAGCTTGTCTGAAACTCCCAACCTCAAGTGATCCGACCGTCTCAGCATGCCAAAGTAATGGGACTACAGGCGTGAGCCACTGTGCCCAGCCAGAATTCAAAATCAATAATAGATAATGCTGAGTGTATGATTTCAGGTGACAAAGAAGGTCTCACTATTCAGATATTTGTGACATTAATGAAAAACACGGAATGAACCCCTGAAAGATTGGCGGAAGGATTTTGCACACACAGCTGTCAGCCATGAAGGCACAAAGGTGAAAACAATCTGATGTGGAAGGAAGAGGCTCTGACTCAAATGCTGGGAATGAGGTGGGGAGAATGACAAGACGACTGTAGAGAGACGGAGAGCACACTGGGTACACAGGAAACTAAGGAGCAACAAGGAGTGTGTGTTTGACACTCACAGCCATTGGATTCACCTCGGGGTAACCAGGAATCCCTACATGATTAATATGACTGACATGAAAATAAGGGAGGCCCAGGTGCATAACTGGAATCTAGGAGACCGTGGAAAAGGCAATTGCCGCCCCACTGGTGAAATGTGGTGCTGATTTAGACACTAAATGAATGAAGTAGATGGATATAAGATATGTTTGTGAGGTAGAATCATTGACTGGAAAGGCTTACTGGGTTTGATTTTCCTACTTGTTTAATCCTCGCTTAATTAATTTCTTTCTGAGATTTATTCATCCTACACATAAATCAATACCTGGCAAAGGAGTGACAGATATATGAGTGGTGGTGGAAATGAAGAGACTTATTATAGCATAATATACAAGTCTGTGAACAGTGGCTCACGCCTGTAACCTAGCACTGCAGGAGGCCAAGGTGGGTGGATTCCATGAAGTCAGGAGTTCCAGACCAGCCTGGCCAACGTGGTGAAACCCTATCTCTACTAAAAATACAAAAATTAGCCGAGCACGATGGTGCATCCCTGTAATCCCAGCTCCTATTCTGGAGGATGAAGCAGGAGAATGACTTCAACCCAGTAGGTGGAGGTTGCAGTGAGTGGAGATTGCATCACTGCACTCCAGCCTGGGGGACACAAGGAGACTCTATCTCAAAAAATAAAAATAAGAAATACATAAATATAATAAAACACACACGAATGACAAAGGCACCTGAATTCCAATCATCGTTTTTCTATTTCTCTATAATTACTTCTTTGATCCTTTATCTTATCCATTAGGCAATGAGCCTAAAACCTCTTCCCTATTTGGCTTTCTGTGAGCATGAGATCATATAGAAAATGTGAAAGCCCGCTGAATCCTCCAGCACAGATCCTGGAATAGAGAAAGTGCTCTGGTCATCACAAAAAAAACTTGCCCACTCACCCAAATCCCCCACCTCACCCCTACTTCCAATCACCTGTGGAGATTCAGATAGACCATGGGGAGGTAAACATTAACACTCCTTGGAGTGAGTCCAGATCTTGGAATCAGAGATCAGCGACAGCACTAGCTCCTGCTCCCCTTTCCTACTAATTCACAGGAGGACAGGTGGTTTTGAAGCAATAGATGGCCGAGGGGGTGGTCCTTCCCCCAGCCTCTCGGGTAGAACAGCAGCCTAATATGTGTCTCCCGAGATCACAAAGAGCAGCAGGTTTCACACGGGCTTCAACACTATTTCCTGGCCGTTTGACATAAGAGAATTCTATTTCGCTTTTTTTATCTTGATTTCACTTTTGTTTTCTTTCCTTGGAGAATGCAAGTTGTTTGATTCAAGAATGCTGTGGATGTAGAAACCCTAAAGCACATTCGCTGTGAATCAATCCCAGTCCAGTCTTCCCAGAGAAGACTCTAAACACCTCCTGGACTGCACCTGGGCCTATGCCAATTCCTATCACTCACCGTCACTCCAGGGAGACAGAACACACAGAGAATACGTTACATAGGCAGGTTCATTACTAACAGATAAGCAGCGAGTGACAACAGAAACCTATATTTCAATGTGACCCAGTCCCTCAAGGCTCAGAAAAGCTCCTCGGGACATATGGAGTCACCCCATTTGCAGTGTAGCTGCGGGAAGCCAGAAAGCAGCCCAGCCTGGGTTTTGTACCCTGGAGCCACAGGAAGCACTCAGCTAAAGCACTGCATGACGTCCTCCAGGAAGAACAGGAAGACAGCCCAGGGTGTTCTGAGACGTTCCTCCTGATCTCAGGAAGTTGCTGTCTTAGGCCATTTTTGTTGCTCTAAAGGAACACTTGAGCCTCGGTAACTTCTAAAGAAAAGAGATTGGTTTGCCTCACCGTTCTGCAGGCTGTACTGGAAGCATGGCACCAGCATCTATTTCTCGTGACGGCCTCAGGCTGCTCCCACTCTGGCAGAAGGGAAGGAGGGTCTGTCTGTGCAGAGACCACAGAGATCACACGGCAAGAGAGGGAGCAAGGGGGAGGGGGAGTGATGGAGCTTCCAAGCTCTTTTTAACAACCAGCTCTCCGGGAACTAATAGAGGGGGAACTTGCTAACCCCGTCTCCTTGGGACAGCATTGATGTGTTCATGATGGATCCACCTCCATGACCCAAACACCTCTCAAGAGGCCCAACCTCCCACAGTGGGGGTGAAATTTCAATGTGAGGTTTGAAGGGGTCAAACATCTCAACTAAAGTAGTCGTATCCTCAGCACGTTCTATGGTTACTATGAGAGCTATAACTGAAAAAGCAGGAGAAAGCTGGGTCTCCTGCCATCTGGGTGCTTGTCCTAAAGAGGTGTTTTATGTGGTTACCTGTCAATCAAGAAATGCGAGACAATTCATAAAGAGGAACTGCTAAGATTAGCTTCTTATTGGTGTCTCATCTTCTTCCAGGTAACCCCCGACACCTGCACATTCTGATTGGGACCTCAGTGGTCATCATCCTCTTCATCCTCCTCTTCTTTCTCCTTCATCGCTGGTGCTCCAACAAAAAAAGTAAGTCTCACGAAGCAGAGGCCAGAGAGCTCAGGGCCATGTGGGGAAGCAGGATGGGAGCACTCAGGTGTGTGTTCCTCACAAACAGGATGGTCCCTGGCCCAAGGCAGCAGCCACAGAGGCAGGACTTTCTAGAGAGGGCACCAGACTCCCTGTCCCTGCCTTCAACTCACAGACCGTTGCCTGATTCTGAACTGTATCCCCATGTCCCCTGCAGCCACTCACATCCAGGAGAAGGTTCCATGACAGGCAGAAAGTGGGAGACAGAATCAATGGGATGGGAACTCAGAGCTATTCATGGGATGGGTCCTTGAGCTCAGAGAGATAGAATGTCTGAGTCTGCTGTTGGCAACTGAGGGACCTCAGCCACCTATGGTCTCCCCCTGTATGTTGGTATCTGCTTATGAAATGAGGACCCAGAAGTGCCCTCCGAGCTGTTTTGTTGACTTCCATCTTCTACAGATGCTGCGGTAATGGACCAAGAGTCTGCAGGAAACAGAACAGCGAATAGCGAGGTAGGTACTCCTCGGCCCGGGCTCGTGGCTACTGTTATTCCCAAAGAGTCCTGGAAAATGTGAGCACCCTCCCTCACTCAGCATTTCCCTCTCTCCAGGACTCTGATGAACAAGACCCTCAGGAGGTGACATACACACAGTTGAATCACTGCGTTTTCACACAGAGAAAAATCACTCGCCCTTCTCAGAGGCCCAAGACACCCCCAACAGATATCATCGTGTACACGGAACTTCCAAATGCTGAGTCCAGATCCAAAGTTGTCTCCTGCCCATGAGCACCACAGTCAGGCCTTGAGGGCGTCTTCTAGGGAGACAACAGCCCTGTCTCAAAACCGGGTTGCCAGCTCCCATGTACCAGCAGCTGGAATCTGAAGGCGTGAGTCTGCATCTTAGGGCATCGATCTTCCTCACACCACAAATCTGAATGTGCCTCTCACTTGCTTACAAATGTCTAAGGTCCCCACTGCCTGCTGGAGAAAAAACACACCCCTTTGCTTAACCCACAGTTCTCCATTTCACTTGACCCCTGCCCACCTCTCCAACCTAACTGGCTTACTTCCTAGTCTACTTGAGGCTGCAATCACACTGAGGAACTCACAATTCCAAACATACAAGAGGCTCCCTCTTAACGCAGCACTTAGACACGTGTTGTTCCACCTTCCCTCATGCTGTTCCACCTCCCCTCAGACTAGCTTTCAGTCTTCTGTCAGCAGTAAAACTTATATATTTTTTAAAATAACTTCAATGTAGTTTTCCATCCTTCAAATAAACATGTCTGCCCCCATGGTTTCGGTAATGGGACTCTTTTCTTGCCTAAGGCTTCCGGTGTTATCAGTACCATGTCCATATAATCCCATCTGTTCCCCACTGAGTTCTCATCCCCGGACTCTGAGTTTCTGGAAGCAGGGTGGAGCCTCATTTGTCTCTGGGACTCCAATTTCCATCCAAAGATGTAGCACATAGGAGGTTCCAAGGATCACGAATCATATGAACAAGTGATACTCTTACTCTCTGCAGACCTGGAAAGCTGGCAGAGTCATTCCACAATGAAACATTTGTAGAATCATAGGCCTTGTTAGTCTCATCTCCATGGGGACACATATCAACACATCATCTTTCATAATATAAATATACGGTCACTCCTCCATATCTGCGGGGTTTACAGGTGTTTATTGAACCAAGTATAAATCAAAAATATTGAGAGAAAGTATCCACAGAGTTTCAAAAAGCATAACTATGTTGAATGGACACAAATGAAGCTGTGTGTAGGCTGTATCAGGAATTATAAGTAATCTAGAGATGATTTCATGTATACAGGAGGATGTGCATAGGTTATTTGCAAACGCTGTGCCATTTCATATAAGAGGCTTGAGCATCTACAGATTTTGGTATCTGAGTGGAGATCTCAAAACCAATCACCCACGAATAGTGAAGGATGACCGTATATGACTTTTATTTCTCAAATTTAAATATAAATCATAAAAAATGTACAACTAGATAAAAACTAAGAAGTGTTTTTATAGTGTGAGTTAGATTTATTTTTTCCTAGGTGTAACCAATTGGTTTAATATTATTTATTGAGAAGACATTCTATGCCACCTTAAACCACACGGCAGCCTTTGTCAACTCTAAAGGGACTGTGTGTACATGGATGTATTTTAGACACTGTTTCTGCTAAGGGGCTCTCTGTGTCCACACTCTTGATGATGCTGCACTTTATGTAGCCTTATAGAACCCTTTAAATTTAGTAGCCAGAGCCCTCTAATTTGTTATTATAGGCTGTTTGCTTTTTTTTTCTTGAGGCGGAGTCTTGCTCTGTCGCCCAGGCTGGACTGCAGTGGCACAATCTCAGCTCACTGCAACCTCCGCCTCCCAGGTTCAAGCGATTCTCGTGCCTCAGCCTCTTGAGTAGCTGGCGTTACAGGTGCCTGCCACCAGGCACGGCTAATTTTTGGATTTTTAACAGAGACACGGTTTCACTATATTGGCCAGGCTGCTCTCAAACTCCTTATCTCAGTTGATCCGCCCACCTCGGCTTCCCAACGTGCTGGGGAAAACTTGATTTTCTATAGCATTATGTTACTGGATATTTCTGTAAAATTTAAAACGAGGGAGGGAGAGAGACAGACAGAGAGCAAACTCCAGAGTTGGGACTCTGGAATCTTGGGTCATGAGACAAATTTTAGATTAAACTACAAAACTCCAGAATTTACAGGTGTGGTTTTTGCTGATAAAGTACAATTCTAAGATTGTAAATAATTGCATAATCCTTCCCTGGGAATTTAAATCATTTTAGCTGGTTCTGCTGTAATACTAGAAATACAAGCATGAAAAATTCTAATGGTTTATTAGTCACAATGACTCCGAAAACATTAATAATACCTATTAGATACTTTGCATATTACACAGGAAGAAGAGTTTGAATCTCAGATAAAAACAAAAAAAATACATGAAAAGTCTTTCATGTTAGCACAGATTTTAGGCATCTCGTGTTCGGATAAAAATACATGAAAAGTCTTTCACGTTAGCACAGATTTTAGGCATCTTGTGTTCGGGAGGTTGGATCTGAGACGTGTTGTGAGTTGGTCATAGTGAAGGACGTGAGGTGCCAATTCTAGTGAGAACAATTTCCAGGAAGCCGTGTTCCGCTCTTGAGCAAGCATCCACTGGGCCTCATGCAAGGTAGAAAGAGCCTGCGTACGTCACCCTCCCATGATGTAGTCAACATGTAAGCTGCATGGGCAGGGCGCCAAATAACATCCTGTGCGCTGCTGAGCTGAGCTGGGGCGCGGCCGCCTGTCTGCACCGGCAGCACCATGTCGCTCATGGTCGTCAGCATGGCGTGTGTTGGTGAGTCCTGGAAAGGAATAGAGGGAGGGAGTGCCACATCCTCCTCTCTAAGGTGGCGCCTCCTTCTCCCCCAGGTGGTCAGGACAAGCCCTTCCTCTCTGCCTGGCCCAGCCCTGTGGTGTCTGAAGGAGAACATGTGGCTCTTCAGTGTCGCTCTCGTCTTGGGTTTAACGAATTCAGTCTGTCCAAAGAAGACGGGATGCCTGTCCCTGAGCTCTACAACAGAGTATTCCGAAACACCGTTTTCATAGGCCCTGTGACCCCAGCACATGCAGGGACCTACAGATGTCGGGGTTCACACCCACACTTCCTCACTGGGTGGTCAGCACCCAGCAACCCCCTGGTGATCATGGTCACAGGTCAGAGGGCTCCTGTCTGGGATTCTCCTTGTCCCACCTCCTGAGTCCCAGAGCTTCTGGTGGGAGTGTCCACCAGCGTCCCATCATCCAGACCCTAACTGTATTTGGGGTAAAAGGGGATTGAATACAGGGAAATGGGTGCTGTGGTGGAAAGAATAATTGTCCCCAATGATGACTGCATTCTAATCCCTGCAGTCTGTGACTATTTATGTTATAGGGGAAGGCACTGAAGGGGAAGATGGAGCTCAGGTTGTTGAGTTGACCTTGAGATGGGGAGACAGCCTGGACTGTCCTGCTGGGCTCAGTGTAATCACAAGGGTGCACATGAGAGGAGAAGGAAGAGGGGAGTGGCGATTAGAGCAGTGCAATGGAAGTCTCCATCAGCTTTGAAGGTGGAGGAAGGCCATGAGCCATGAATGCAGGTGGCCTATAGAGGCTGGAAAAGTCAAGGAACTGATTCTCCTGGGTCTCCAGAGGGAACGCAGCCCTGCAGATGCCTTGATTTTAGCCCTCAAAAAACAGGGTCCGATTTCTGTCTCCAGAAACGGAAGGGGTCAGTGTGCTCTCTCCTGCTGCCATGCTTCTGATAATTTTCCACAGCACCAACAGGAAACCAACACTGGAACCCAGGTCAAGGACAAGATAAGAAAGGACACAAGGATAGCCGGGCGTGGTGGCAGGTGCATGTAATCCTAGCAACTCAGGAGGCTGAGGGCAGGAGAATCACTTGAACCCAGGAGACAGAGGTTGCAGTGAGCCTAGACCACACCACTTCACTCCAGCCTGGGTGAAGGAGTGAGACTCTGACTCCAAAATTAATTAATTAATTAAAGAAACCAAACAAAGAGAAGGTTGGCTACACCGAGATCAGCAAGGGTGGGATGATGATGCCACCACCAGGCTCCATCCACATAGGGAGGGGTTGATACTCCTCAAACCAGCACCAGAAGCCAGCCTATGGAAGCTGGCACCATGGAGAAGGCACAGGCATGGCAAGAGTGGCTCCCAGTCCCCACCAGGAACAGGGTGTGTGGACACTGGTGCCTGCCTTACTGATCAGTTCATACCTTCTGCCAAGGATTCCAATTCGTCCAAAAGAGATTGAACCAGGCTGCTAAGAGCCTGGACGTGCAGCCTATCCTGGTTCCTCTTCCACCCCCACATAGAAGCAGGAAAGACATTAGTTCGAAATAGATACAACAGCCCAAGAGATGAGGCTGAGCCCAGCGGCAAGGGAATCAGGAGCTACTAGAGACAGAGGGACAGAGAAGAGGGAGGGAGACAGATGGAAGGACCTGTACCAGGAGTTATGGGCACAGAAAAGAACATGAAGACACAGAGAGGAAGGAGAGAGATAAGACACCAGCGAGGGGAAGCCTCACTCATTCTAGGTGCCATGGATGGGATGATAAAGAGAGATGCCTTCTAAAGTCACAACCTCTCTTCCTAGGAGTCCACAGAAAACCTTCCCTCCTGGCCCACCCAGGTCCCCTGGTGAAATCAGAAGAGACAGTCATCCTGCAATGTTGGTCAGATGTCATGTTTGAGCACTTCCTTCTGCACAGAGAGGGGAAGTTTAATGACACTTTGCGCCTCACTGGAGAGCTCCATGATGGGGTCTCCAAGGCCAACTTCTCCATCGGTCGCATGACGCAAGACCTTGCAGGGACCTACAGATGCTACGGTTCTGTTCCTCATTCCCCCTATCAGTTGTCAGCTCCCAGTGACCCTCTGGACATCGTGATTACAGGTGAGAGTGTCTGGACATTATTCTCATTGTCACTGGGACACAGAGTGAATGATCCACGACTTGGAGGCCCAGGTGGTTATAAGGAAGATGAGCTTGGTATTCTTATGGAGAGAGACTAACTTGGTGAGGTCTGTACCAACAGAGACAGAGAAACAGGAGACACAAGTACAGACCAGGTGTCATAACAGAGGACAGACACAGGGGCCATACAGGGAGTTAGAAAAGACAGAAAGAGTTAAAGGAGACACAGACAGACATGTGCCAGAGAGAGGTGTCCTTCCATGCTGACTTTGCTCAGAGACCTGGCACAGGTTAGAAGTTTCATTTCTGTTTTACTTCCACAAAGTGTTCTCTACCAGAAGAACCCAAGGACACCCATATTTCTGGCCTGAGTTGGGCCCTGTGGCCTCAGGCCTTCTGGCACCTACAGATGCCGTGTTTATTCTGACACCTCTGCCTTCCATGCAATGGAGAGTAATCGTCCCAGGATATCATGGCCCCAGAACATCAACCCCTGTATACTGTGTGAACTTGCGGTCCCCAGACTGGATTCTGAGGCTCACATTCCAAATAACCCCACATATGAGAGGATCACTGAGAGACACAGAGAGAAATCAGGGACACCAAAAAGCAAAGACATAAACACACAGAGAATGAGCCAGAGGAAGGAGATTGAGAGACTCACAGACACATAAAGAGGGAGAAAAGAGGGCAGAGAAGTGGAGAGAACAATGGAAGGGAACAGAGAAAAGCACTAAAATTAGAGTCCTGAGGGAGAGACACAAGGACATAGAAAGATGGAGATGTGGGGATGAATTGCAGAGATTCCAAAGAGAACTAGAGAGACCGAGAGGCAGAGCAAGACAGATGATAGATGGATAGATATAGATAGATGATAAATAGGTAGATGATAGATAATAGGTTATAGATACATAGATGATGATTGATTCATTCATTGATTAATCGATGATACATAGAGATGATGAAGATGAAGATAGATAGATAATACATAGAGATAGAGAGGCAGACAAAGAGAAATCATAGAGAGAGAGAGACGATACATAGATATAGATAATAGATGATTTTTGGATAGACAATTGATAGATAAATAGATTATATATAGATATAGATGACAGGTAGAGAATTTGTAGATAGGCACCAAATAGATAAATAGATATATCGATAGATAATAGATAGAAATATGCAGAAAGTTATGAACAGGACACAAAGTGAGAAACTCAGAATTTAAAAAAAGTAACATCAAGTCAACTAGTCCAAGGAGAGTCAGAGAGAATAAAACAATCCAAAAAGGGAAAACATATCTAGAGGTGAGAAAGTGAGGTCAGAGACCTAGAGAGACAGAGAAGGTGGAAAGAGGAAATAGACATAAAGAGAGATGGTGTGGAGGGTGAGACAGAGAGAGAGAGCATTAGGCCATAGAGCAGGGGAGTGAGTTCTCAGCTCAGGTGGGAGGGGAGTTGTGACAAGGAAGAACCTCCCTGAGGAAACTGCCTCTTCTCCTTCCAGGTCTATGTGGGAAACCTTCTCTCTCAGCCCAGCCGCGCCCCATGGTTAAGGCAGGAGAGAGCGTGACCTTGTCCTGCAGCTCCCGGAGCTCCTATGACATCTACCATCTATCAAGGGAGGGGGAGGCTCATGAACTTAGGTTCCCTGCAGTGCCCAAGGTCAATGGAACCTTCCAGGCCAACTTTCCTCTGGGCCCTGCCACCCACGGAGGGACCTACAGATGCTTCGGCTCTTTCCGTGACTCTCCCTACGAGTGGTCAGACCTTAGTGACCCACTGCTTGTTTCTGTCACAGGTGAGGAAACCAGTCTGTTCCCCAAATAGTGGGACTCAGATGGACTACAATGGCCACATTCAGGGGAGCCTCAGATGGAGGGGGTGGCCATGGGGGTGTCAGCCAGAGATGCTGGACAGAAGAGACACAAAGCAAACATACAGAAAGAGGCATAGACAGACAGACAGAGCGAGGCAGACAGATCACATTAGGGTTTGGGGTGGTAACTGCAACCCTACCTGAAGCTTGCAGATAGAGCACAGGCCACATAAACCACTTCCCAGTCTTTGTACAGAAGCCCACCTGGGACACATGTAAACAGCATCAATGCTGACTCAGGAGCATGAAAGGCCGGGCTCAGATTGGAAAGACTAGAGGTAGCATTGGCCGCCCGCCATTGCCCATTTCCAGAAGCCCCCACCTCTCACCAAAGAGTGATTTCCACATGGGGGGCACAGATGCAACCATCGTTGGGGGAGCCCCAATGTCTCTTGATGGGAGGCATTTTCCACCCTAGATGTTTTTTGCTCTCTCCACACCTTGGAGACTCAGTGGGGGAGTCTTCTCTGGGGACTCGGGGAGGGCCTCCCTGGGACTCGCAGGATTTCCAAGCTAGATGACAACATGACAGGTGGAAACAGGCCCATTCCTTCGCCAGGGGCCCCAAGCTCCATCCCAGGAGATGAGAAGAGGCTCTTCTCATTGGTCAGTGGATCCCTGAGGGGACAGAGGCTCAGCACTGAAGGCTGAGAAGGATCTGCCACTTCGCTCAGTGGCCTCAAGCCAGACATCTTCCCTACAGACTTGCAGTGATTCTCCATCAGCATTTAGGGCTGTGGCCACCAACCTGGGTGTTGGTCTGTAGGAACTTTTCATTTCTGACCTTCCATAACTGAGTTCTCTTCCTAAATGTGGAATGCCTTGTACTCCATGTTACTCTCTCCCCAGAAAGAATGTGTGGCTTGTCTGCTCTCCAGCCCTGTCATGGAGATTGATAATCCTTAGGGAGCAAGAGGAGAGGGAAAGAACAAAGTATGAGACCACCTAGGTGCTACTGGTTGAGGTTCCATTTGCCAGTGAAGGGACTTCACTCAGCCGAGGGGGCAACTCAGGGAAGTCAGCCGAGGGAGGGCATTAGAGTAGAGAGAACTGAGCTCACCCAGTAAATGACCCCTTCACTAACTCATTCATCTAATATTTATTTCACACCTACCATCAGTTCTCTCTGTTTCATGGCCAGGAGTAGACAGCACGGCCAAGCTCCTGGGTTCATGATGCTCACATTGCTGTGGGGTGGGAGAGAGAGGCAGAACATGAATGAATGAATGAGAGAATGAATGAATGAGTGAATGATGGAATGAGTGAATGAATGAATGAATGAATGTATGAATTAGTGAGTGAATCCTTAGCACTTGGTGAAAGTGCCATGCACAGAATGAAATGAATGAACGTGGAACGTTGTCATTTGGAGTGTACAGGAGGGAACGTCTCACTGAGACCTCATCAGAGAGATCACATTTAAACTCCGATCTTAGAGACAAGAGGGAGTGAGCCCTGGGGAGTGTGTTGAAAGGAACTTTCATGGACTTAGGACATTGGGGATGACCCTAATGTGAGAATGAGCTTGGTGTGTTCCAAGAAGTCCATGGACCTGCCATATGGTGAGGGCTGGTCAGAATCCAGAGAGATTTCTAAATGCCCTTGTGCTTGTAAGGAAAGTGAGTCCTGTGGTTGGGAGTGGACTTATACCTTGGGTCAGGTCCAGCAATTATCTTTCTAAATCCTCTCTAATTGCCTGAACCACTTCTATCAACAACTGAGAAAAGAGGAGTGTTAAACACCCCACTGTGGCCGTGGATTTGCCTACCTGTCCATTTATTTCCGCGACTCTTCCTCCATGTATATTTGCAGGAATATTACTGGGAGTGGTTAAGTGTAAACTGATTATATATTCCTGGTAAATTTAAAATGCTATAAATTTACCTGCTTTTTTCCTACATTTTATGCTTAATGTTTTCCGCTGATTTTTCCCAAAGACTAATTTTGTCTAATTTTAATATAGTTATACCACATTTCTAACAGTGATTGCTTGGTATATTTCTACATTGTTTAATTTCAAACTCCATGAATTGTTAACATTGAGATGTGTCCTTTGTAAATTTCAAACAATTCGCCTTAGAAAGTAAGACTTTCTGACAATCTTTTGTTCATGTTTGAGCAGTTCTTCCAATCATATTTTTGTTATTATTACGTTGTGTTTTCCTGATTCCCTTTTTTTCCCACTGACTTCTGTGGTTTTCTATTTCAAACATTCTATTTTTGATCTATGTCGTTTAGGAATACATATATGGTGTACTCATCCTGAAGTTGTTACATATTTTTAAAATTGAAATTAATCATTTCAGAGATTAAACTGCAAATATAAAAACATATTTCCACTCTTCCTGTGTAAGAACAGGATTTTAGAGCATATTTAGTACATATGTTTGTATTTACTTATATGATGTTTTGTTTTGTGGTATACATAATTCTATCTTTTTCAGAAATTACACAGGGGCATGTTTTCATACACTATCGTATGGTCCATATTCATTTTTGGCATAGCCATATTTTTAGTTCTTCCTCTGCTCTTAGTTATTGTCAGAATCTTCGACACCCCATCTGGTTTCACTTTCTTTATCTTTGAGGCACGGTCATCAGAATTTCCTTTAGGGTCAGTGAGAAAAGCTTTCTTTGCCCTTTTGTCTTTCAGTTCTGTTTCTTTCCTGCGTTGATCTTGGACAGTAACTGTACTATGTAAGGAATTGTCGGTGGCTGGCGACGGTATCTTAGCTGGGTAAAGATGCTATTCTACTGGCTTATGTTTTCCTTTTTTCTGTGGGGAAGACAATGCTTGGCTCCCTATAAATCCTTACCAGCTGATCCTTTTCCTCTGGCTAATTTTAAGGGTTGGTTGTGCTTTTATGCTGCTTTTCTGTAATGTTGAACGTGAGGTGTGTTTACTTCATTCTGCCTGGCATTCACTGGATTTCTTGAACCTGTGGATTGATGGATGTGTCTACTTCCTCCAAATAATCAACAATTGCCTCTTTAAAGATTGCTTCTGACCTGTTTTCTCGTTCTTTCTTTTTGGAACTCAAGTTAGGAGCATTCTAAAACTGTTGTCAATTTTTACCCTGTCACAAAACTGCTCTTTCTTGTTTCAGTTATTTGCTTTTTCTGTGCATTAATATTGATGGTTTCCTCTGTCATAGAGGATAAATACTCTCTTCACTGTTGTGTACACAACATTTTAACTAGTTATTCTGGTTTAAATTTAATATTGACTTTATCTACATATCACAATTGATTACTGTGTACAGACTTTCTTTTCTATTAGTATAAATTTATGAGGTACACTTGTAATTTTGTGACATGAGTATGTTGCAGAGTAGTGAAGTCAGGACTTTTACTATATCCATCACCCAAATACCGTACATTGTACTCATTAAGCAAATTCTCATCACTCACCCACGTCCCGCCACCCTCCAGCCTTCTAGCCTCCGCTGTCCGTCATTCCACACTCTACGTCCATATGTACACATTACTCCCCTCCCATGTAGAGTGAGAAGATGTGGTATTTGTCTTTCTGAGTGGTTTTATGTAAAATAATGGCGTCCAGCTCCATCTATGTTGCTGCAAAAGACATGGTTTTATTTTTATGACCAAATAGTATTTCGTTGTGTATACACGCATCCTTTTTTTAATCCAATCATTCATTCACAGACACTTAGATTGATTTCATATCTTTGCTATTGCAAACAGTGCTGCAATAAACATACAGGTGCAGATATTTTTTGAGTAGATACCCAGCAGCGGGACCCCTAGATCGAATGGTGCTTCTATTTTTGGTTCTCTGCCAAATTTCCATACTGTCTTCCATAGAGGCTATACTAATTTACATACCGGCCAACAGTGTATAAGAGTTTCCTTTTCTCTGCATCCTTGCCAACACCTGTTATATGTTTCACTTTTTCTTTTTTTCTTTTTGAGATGGAGTCTTCCACTGTCACCCAGGCTGGAGTGCAGTGCCGCCATCTCCACGCGCTGCAACCTCCACCAACCAGGTTCAAATGATTCTCCTGCCTCAACCTCCTGAGTAGCTGGGATTACAGAACCACACCACCATGCCCAGCTAATCTTTTGTATATTTAGTAGAGATGGGGTTTCACTATGTTGGTCAGGCTGGTCTCAAACTCCTGACCTCATGATCCACCCGCCTCAGCTTCCCAAAGTGCTGGGATTACAAGCGTGAGCCACCACTCCCCACCAGCATTTTTAGTAATAGCCATTCTGACTACTGTAAGATGATATCTCATTGTGGTTTCAATTTGCATTTCTCTGATGATTAGTGATGTTCATACGCTGTTTGGCCATTCGTATGTCTTCTTTTGAAAAATGTCTATGTATATCCCTTTGCCCACTTTTTAATGCTATTATTTGAGGGGTTATGTTTAGTTGTTTGAGTTGCCTAGAAATTCTGGATGTTAGTCCCCTGTTGGGTGCATAGTTTGCAAACATTTCCATTCATTCTGTGGGTTGTCTGTTCACCCTGCTACTATTTCCTTTGCTTGGCAGAAGCTCTTTCGTTTATTAAGTCCCATTGGTCTAGTTTTATTTTTATTGCCTGTGCTTTTGAGGTCTTAGTGATGAATTCTTTGCCCAGACCAATGCCCAGAAGAGTTTCTCTTTGGGTTTCCACCGGTGATTTTATAGTTCTGGATTTACATTTAAGCTGCTAATTACCTTAAGTTAATTTATGTGTATGATTACAGATACAGGTCCAGTTTTATTCTTCTGCATATGGCTATTTAGTTTTCCCAGCACCTTTTATTGAAAAGGAAATCTTTCTCCAGGGTATGTTTTGTTAACGTCGTCAATGATTATTCACTGTAGATATGAGGCTGTATTTCTGGGCTCTCTATTCTGGTCTATTGATCTCTGTTTCTGTGTCTATACCAGCACTGTGCTATTTAAGTTACTATAGCCTTAGAGCATAGTTTGAAGTCAGATAGCGTGATGCCTCCAGGTTTCTACATTCACCTAGAATTGCTTTCTCTATTAGGATCTTTTTTGGTTCTGTATGAATTTTAGGATTGCTTTTTCTAATTCTGTGAAAACTGGTGTTACTATTTTCATATAAGAATTGCACTGAATCTGTAGATTGCTTTAGGCAGTATGGTCATTTTAACAATATTAATTCTTATGATCCATGAGCGTGGGATTTTTTTTCTTTTTTTTTTTTGTATTATCTATAATTGCTTTCATTGGTGTCTTACACCTTTCCTGGTACAGATCTTTCACCACCTTGGTTAAATGTATTCCTGAGTGTTTTAATTTTGCGTATCTATTGTAAACGGCATTGCCTTCTTGATTTGGTTCTCAGCTAGATCATTATAGGTGTAGAGAAATGCTACCGGCTTTTACATATTGATTTTGTATTCTGAAACTTTACTTAGTTCATTTATCAATCATAAGAATTTTTGGCAGGGTCTTTAGGATTTTCTAGATTTAAGATCATAGCATCAGAAATAAAAATAATTTTACTTCCTCTTTTCTAATTTGGATTTTTACTTCTTCCTGTTGCCCAATAGCTCTGACAAGGCTTCCAGTACTATGTTGATAGGAAGTGGTGGATGTCCGTGTCCTTGTCTTGTGCCAGTTCTCAGAGGAGTGCTTTTAACTTTTCCTGTTCAGTATGATGTTGACTCTAGATATGTCATCTATGGCTTTTATTATTTTGAGGTATGTTCTTTCTATGCCTAAGTTTTTGAGGGTTTTCATCAGGTAAGGATGTTGAATTTCTTTTCAGATGCTTTTCTTTATGTCTATTGAGATGATCATATGGTTTTTGTTCTGGATTCTGCTCGTTCTTCTAAGTGGATGAGACATGCCAGAAAAGCATTTAGTCAGCCATCTTGGAAACAAGCATCTCAGATGTTTTCTTTCTCTATAGCTCATTCTTTCTTACCAGTGTTTTCAATTTTGTACTTAATTTTGTAAAGAGAGTAAATGATATAATTTCCACATATGTTTCCTCTGCCAAATCAGACTCACTATGCTTCCTTTCCTTGTATGCATAACCTACCCAGCAATACACACAAACATTTATTGCTTTGGAGAATTAGTTTGGGAACATTTTTGAAATGTACAAAAAAATGTATATCTTCAAAAGAAATTTCTTTTTGTGGCAAAAGACTTCTGAAGGTGCTCATGATGATATAGGGAGAAGAGGGGTTCTGGACAGGAAGAATTTTATGAAGGTGAGATGGGGAAATAGCTCCATTTCAGAGCTTCTGGGGAGAGAGGGGCCTGGCCCACATGGAAAGGTCTCTGATCTTACCCCCACCCTCCAGCCCCTGTTCTCCAGAACTATACTGTGGAGAGTTCCATCAGGATTGTTGTGGCTGGTCTGGTCTTCCTGGCTCTTTTGGCAATGCTGGCTAAGACCTGGTGGAGACATGAGGGGCCACAGGTGGAAATGGAAGAAACATGACTGAAGCTGGCTGGAGTGAATGGCGCGACATTCTGTCTGTGGGAGATTGGCCAGATGGGTTTCAAGTGTGTTGTATCAGCTGTGACTTTTAGTAATGTTCTTGCTACCACAATATCCACTCGTCCATCCCGAATAATTGTGATGAAATATTGTCCTTGGGATAATATTCATTTGCTAAAGACAGGGATGATACCTCAAGGTGCCACTATATACATCGAGGGGATCCACAAAAGTCCATTCAGTAAAATGTAGTTGGCATCTTAGGGTAGGTTGATTCCACCTCTAAAAAAGTAGGTACAACATCAGGTTGATTTTTCCGAAGAAAAGTGGTGATTGGCCATCTTTAGTCTCAATGTAAACGGTAATACTGATGAGTGTGGAAAAGGCAGGGAAGAGGATTGACAATAAGTGACACTCATTGTTTTCATCTGAGCTTTGAGACTGAAAGAGGAACACAGGAGTGAGATGTATGGGAACAAACCCCTTCTTTTTCCAGCTAAACAGAGTGGAAGTTGGACACTGAGTTTTGGCGTACAGCAAAATCCTAAGTCCATTGTTGGGTTGAACACGGCCATGTTGTACATCCTGGTTTCACAGCAGACACTGGAGGAAAACAGCCTGTATTCATAAGAGGCTGTCCCTCGGGTCACTGCCCAGAATATCCGGAGTTGGTGCTCACAGGGTTGGGAACTCTCCTGGACCAGACAGGCTCTGGATATGGGGGGGTACCAAGCTCCCCGGGGCCATGCCTCCACAGCTCTCTTCTCACCTCATTCTTGACCATTTCCCAAACCTCTGACCTCACCTTCATTCATCCATGGTGAACACGCTAAAGCTGGCCTTCAAAGCTTGAGACAGAGGAAAATTGGGCTTCATCTCTGGGAACTAAATTGGGGAGTGGAGACTCAGTTCTGGCCTGACAGGAGGGAGAAGACCCTGGATCCCAGTGTGGATGGGAAGAAGTATGTGTTTCTCTTTTGTGCTTGGACCCTGTGTCCAAGCATGTCTGAGATGTGATGAAGATGAATCTTCCTTTCCTTGTCTATTTTCTCATGCCAGAGAATTGGAATCTTATATTCCATTAACTCTTTCTGTTCTGTTCATCCAGATTCTATGAAGGAGAAAGGAAAAGATGTGATACTGTAATTTTGCTCCATTTGTCTAAAATGAGTAGGCTGCAACTCCTCTTGAAGTGATACCTTTTCTAGCTCTTGTTGGAGGTGTCTCAGGACTCATTACTTCGGGGAACCTGCAACTGTGTCAGTCTGGGGAAACTGCAAATATTCTTGTCTTACATTTGTCTCCAGCCAATTGTGATGGACTCCAGTGACCTGCAATTGCTGTTATTGCAGGTAAAATGTACCTGAGTCAGGCCACAGTTCTCCTGGACTATGAGCCCCTGGCCATGTTCCTGAGGCAATTCTGTTCATCTAAATATAATAATAATAACACACTAAAAATGGCAAGCCATTGTTAATTCCTGAAGTCTCATTTGAAAATTACTAAATGTCTGTTATTTTTTGGTGTTTACATTATATGTAGACAGATAAACTACACACACACACACACACACACATGCACACAGAAGAATGGATTGGTTCATGTAGAAAAGTAAATAATTCAAGATGAAAGGATGAAATGTCATGGCACCTACTATTCTATTTTAGATAAAGGGTCTATGAAAAGATTGATTTCTTTTTATGTTTTATTTGTTGACATTTGAACACAAACTATGTAAGTGAGGGAGTCGATTTGAAAGGGAGAAGAGCAAGTTCAAACACATTCAGGTGAGGTCATGCTTTACATGTTTTAATTGAAATGATCCATCTTGGGAGTAGATCAATAACTGAGATGGTGCCCAGGAATGTTAAAAAGCTTTTGTCAGTCCTAAATATTGACAAATAAAAATTTAATTAAAGTCTTAGAAGAAAACACAAAGGAAAACTTCACAACATCGGATTTGGCAGTGATTCTTTAGATGTGACAACAACGGCACAGGCTACTACAGAAAAAATAAACAAGTTAGACTTTATGAAAATTTTGAAATATTGTGACTCAAAAGACAACATCAGTTACTTCACATGGCAAGGAAAAAGAACTTTTAAGACGATATTATCAAAGTAAAAAGACAACCCACAGAATGGGAGAAAATGTTTTCAAACCACACCACCTGTAAGGGATTAACATCCAGAATATACAGACAACTCCTAAAACTCAATCACAATAAACTCAATTCAAAAATGGGCAAAGTACTGAAACAGACATTTCTCCAAAGAACATACGCATGAAAAGATATTCAGCATCACGAATCATTAGGGAAATACTAACTAAAAACTACACCAGATGCCATTTCATACCCCTTAGGATGGGTATCATCAAAAACAACAACAACAACAACAACAAAGTTTCTATACATTAACAACAAACTATCCAAAAAAGTTTACAAGAAAATAAGCCCATTTGCAATAACTACAGAAAACAAAACATGCAGGAATAAATTCACCCAAGGAGTAGAAAGATCTGTATGCAAAAGCTATAAAACATTGATGAAAAAACTCAAGAAATAAACAAATAAATCCGAAAGATATTCCATGTTCACGGATCAGAAGGATTAATGTTGTTAAAATGTCCATTCTATCCAAAGTGATTCAATGCAAACCATTATCAAAAATCCAATGACATTTTTTTTACAGAAATAGAAAAAACAGTCCTAAAATTCATGTGGAACCACAAAAGATCTCAAATAACCAAAGCCATCTAGAGGGAAAGGAACAAAGTTGGAAGCATCACATTACCTAAACACAAAACTACATTACAAAATTACAGTAATTAAAACAACACAGTACTTGCATAAAAACAGACACATAGACCAATGGAAGTGATTCATAGCCCAGGAAAAAAATGCATGCATTTAGGGTCAAACAATTTTTGGGATGTGTCAAGAACACACAATGGAGAAGGAAACAGTCTCTTTAATAAATGGGATTGGGAGACTGCATGTCCACATGCAGAAGAATGGAAGTGGACATTTGCCTCACAAAACATACAAAGTCAACTCAAGATAGATTAATGACTTAAATGTAAGATGAAAGACTATAATCCCAGCAATTTGGGAGGCCAAGGTGGGCAGATCACCTAAGGTCAGGATTCCAAGACCAGCATGGCCAACATGGTGAAATCCCGCCTCTACTAAAAATACAAAAACAGCTGGGTGTGGTTGTGGGTGCCTGTAATCTCAGCTACTCGGGAGGTTGAGACAGGAGAATCACTTGAAC
This sequence comes from Homo sapiens, assembly GCF_000001405.40. Classification (NCBI taxonomy): domain Eukaryota; kingdom Metazoa; phylum Chordata; class Mammalia; order Primates; family Hominidae; genus Homo; species Homo sapiens. Next base: position 101,718 of record NW_016107304.1, read on the forward strand.
CCAGGAGGTAGAGGTTGCAGTGAGCCGAGATCGCACCACTGCACTCCAGCCGGGGCAACACAGTGAGACTCCATCTTAAAAAAAAAAAAAAAACTACTAAAAGAAATCAAGGGAAAACTCCACTGGCTTGGGCAAAACCATTTTGGATATTAACCCAAAGGCCCAGGCAACAAAAGCAAAAGTAGACAAATAACATTATATCAAATTGAAAGTTTCTGCAAAGAAAAAAAAAACTCAACAAGTGGAAAGACAACCTATGGAATGGGAGAATATATTTGCACCCATACATCTAATAAGGAATTAATATCCAAAATATATAAGAAACTCAAACAACTCAATGGTAAGAAATCAAATAACCCAACTTAAAAAAATGGGCAAAGTATCTGAATAAACATTTCTAAGAATAAGACAAATCACCAAAAGGTATATGAAAAAATGATTAGCATTACTAAACATCAGCTAAATAAAAATTAAAACTAGAATGAGATATCACCTCACACCTCTTAGAATGACCATTAACAGTCTGGGCATGGTGGCTCATGCCTGTAATTCAGGCACTTTGGGAGGCCGAGGCAGGGAGATTACCTGAGGTCAGCAGTTCGAAACCAGCCTGGCCAATATGGTGAAACCCCATCCCTACTAAAAATACAAAAATTAGCAGAGTTTGGTGGCGCACACTTGTAGTCCCAGCTACTCTGGAGACTGAGGCAGGGGAATCGCTTGAACCCAGGAGGCAGAGGTTGCAGTACACCGAGATTGTGCCACTGCACTCCAGCCTGGGTGACAGAGCAAGACTGAGTCTCAAAAAAAAAAAAAAAAAAAGACCATTATCAAAAACATAAAAAATAACAAGGGTTAACGAGGATGTGGAGAAAAGGGAACATTTGTATGCAGTTGATGGGAATGTAAATTAGCACAACCATTATGGAAAACAGTCTGGAAGTTCCTGAAAAAATTAAACATAGAATTCCCATATGTGTCTGCAATCCAACTACTGCGCATGTATCCAAAGGAAGTGGAATCAGTATGTTGAAGAGATATCTGCATTCCCATGTTTACAGCCGCATTATTCATAACAGCCAAGATGTGGAATCACCCTTACTGCCCATCTATGGGTGCATGGACAAAGAAAACGTGGTATACGATAGGAACGTAATGAAGTACTATACAACCTTTACAACAAAGAAGGAAGTCCTCTCATTTGTGACAATGTGAAAAAACTTAGAGGACATTATGTTAAGGGAAACAATCCAGGCACAGAAAGACAAATGCCACATGATCTCATGTGTGGAGTGTAAGAAGTGGAACCTAGAGGAACAGTAAAATGGTCGTCGAAAGAACCTGGGATGGAGAGAGATTGAAGAGATGTTGGTCAAAGGATGCAAAATTTCAGTTAGAAGAAATCGGTTCAAGAGATCTATTGTATGTCTTGGTGACTCCAGTTAATAGCAACATATGGTGTATTGAACATTACTAAGAGATTAGATTTTACATGTTCTCACCACACACACAAAACATACAAGTATGTGAAAAAATAAATATGATAAAGAGGTTGTTTCATCCATTCCACAATGTGTACCTATATGAAAACATCATGATGGACACCACAAATACCCTTTTCCTCATTAATTAAATTTGTTTTGGTTTTTTTTTTGAGATGCAGTTTCACTGTTGTTGCCCAAGCTGAGGTGCAATGGCGTGATCTCCGCTCACTGCAACCTCTGCCTCCCAGGTTCAAGCGGTTCTCCTGACTCAGCCTCCCAAGCAGCTGGGACTACAGTTGCGTACCACCCCGTCCGGCTATATTTGTGTTTCTAGTAGAGACAGGGTTTCGCCATGTTGGCCAGGCTGGTCTCGAACTCCAGACCTCAGGTGATCCACCCGCTTCGCCCTCCCAAAGTGCTAGATTTCAGGCTGAGACACCACACCCAGCCTGTACATTGACTTTCTGCCCTTAAACTGTGCTGAAGTTTGTTTCTCAGATGTAGGAGCCTTTGGGCAGAGACTATGGGGTTTCTAGGTATAGAAATTATCTCATCTTCAAACAGAGGTAATTTGACTACCTCTCTCTGCTACTCTCTTCTTACTTGGATGCCTTATAATTCTTTCTCTTTCCTGATGGCTCTGTCTAGGACTTCAAGTACTATGTTGAATAGGATGGTGAGAGTGGGCATTCTTGTCTTGTTTCACTTATGAAGGGAACTTCTTCCAGCTTTTACTCATTCAGTATGATGTTGGTTGTGGGTTTGTCACAGGCGGCTCTTATTATATTGAGTTATGTTTCTTCAATGCTTAGCTTGTTGAGGGCTTTTAACATGAAGAAATGCTTAGTAAAAAGTATGTTCTACATGTGTGTTGAGAAGATCATGTGGTTTTTGTTTTTAGTTTTGTTTAGGTGATGAATCACATGTATTGATTGTGTATGTTCAACCAACCTTGCACCCTAAGAATAAAGTTGACTTGATCATGGTGGATTCACTTTTTGATATGCTGCGGGATTCAGTTCTTAGTATTTTTTGTGGATTTTTGCCTCTATGTTCATCAGGAATATTGGCATGTAGTTTTCTTTTGTTTAATGTTCTTTTCTGTCTTTAGTATCAGGGTGATGCCAGCCTTATAGAATGAGTAAAGGCCACCCTGGGCAAACAGTGAGACCCATCCCTTTTTAAAAATTATGAGTTTTACAAATTTAAAATGCATAGTGAAAAAGTTCTTACAAACTCCAGAAAGGTAGGTGTAAATAAGAGACATTTGTAAGAATGACAGCACATTAAATGTGTAGATTTCAACCTTCAGTTATTGCAATATTCCAGTATCAAGTTGGAGGATGTTATCAGTCTGATATTTTTTCCTCAAATGAGAGAGAGAAAGAAAGACACACAAACAACACAGGGAGAAAAAAAGCACACGTTACAGAGAGACAAAAAGGGAGACAGGGAACTGTGAATTTGGACTCTTGTGTCATAAGACAAATTCTAGATAACACGACCAGACCTTCAATTGACATATTGTGTTTTTGCTAATAAGGTGGAATTCTATGATGCGAAATAACTATATAGTCTTTTCTACTGGGATTTAAATCATTTTATCTGTTTCTGGCTTAACAGGAAAAATACAACCATGGAAAATTATGATGATTTATTTAATACGATTGCTCTATAGTGTTAATAAAACCTATTAGGTATTTTGCATATTACATATCAAGGAGAGTTTGAATCTCAGGTAGAAACAAAAAAAAATACATCAAAAGTTCCTCATGTGAGTGCAGAATTCAATCGTCCCGTGCAGGGGTAAGTGAGTCTGAGATGTGTTTTGAGCCTGGCCGTTGCGCATGATGTGAAGTGACAAGTCTAGTCTGCAGTTTTCAGAAACCCTCATTCCTCCCTTGACTGATTCACCACTTGAACCTCATATGACGTAGAAGAAGCCTACCTATGTCCCCTTCACATGTTGTGGTCAATGTGTCAACTGCACGATCCGGGCCCCTCACCACATCCTCTGCACCGGTCAGTCGAGCCGAGTCACTGCGTCCTGGCAGCAGAAGCTGCACCATGTCCATGTCACCCACGGTCATCATCCTGGCATGTCTTGGTGAGTCCTGGAAGGGAAGGAGCACCAGGGTTACACTATGGGCCTGCAGATTGGGTGTCTCCCCAGCAGAGAGCCATGTTCTGAAGCAAGTGAGTGGTGAGGATGAGTTAATTTTCAGTCCAGCGTGGCGCCCAGTGGCTCAGGAGGAAAGGGTAGGTTGCTGCCGAGATGAATAGTTCCTCATGATCTTTCTTTGCAGGGTTCTTCTTGGACCAGAGTGTGTGGGCACACGTGGGTGAGTCCTTCCCCAAATGATGGGTTGCCATCTTCACCCCAATACAAGTGAATTTTCCGGAAATGGGAGGGAGGCAGCACAGAGGGTGGGCTGATGGGCTGACCATGGGAAGGCCTGGGGGGAGTCTCTCATGAACTAGTAAGAGGAGATCCTGGGAGTCTCTCATGAACTAGTAAGAGGAGATCCTGGGAGTCTCTCATGAACTAGTAAGAGGAGATCCTGGTATGCTCAGCCTTCTGTTTTGTCTTAGCCCTCCCCAGCCTTTCTTCCCCATGGCTGAGTTGAGCTCTGTGTGGCCCAGGCGGGATACTGAGGTGCTCAAAGCTGGGGTGTGTGGGGGGATGTGGTGTCACCGACAGAGGAGGGAAGGGTAGCAGTGTTAGGAACAGCAGGTCCTCTGAGGACAAGAGGGTAACTCACACCCTCCAGCGTTTCCATGACGGTAGGGGCTGCAGTGTGGCTGCTGTCATTCTGCCAGAAGAGGTGGGGGAACCACAGCCACGACCCTGCCATTCCAAATCCTCTGATGGAGCTCAGTTGTTTATTGTGGTTCAGGCATTAGCTAATATTCCATTCACAAAGGTCATACCCTCCACCCCATGTCTACTTTGTGTTGTTTGGTGTAACTAATCTTGCAGTATTAAAATCTAGTAAGAGTCCCTTACTCAGCACCTGCTCAGTTCTCAACTGACACTTTTGTTGTAGGGAGACGCCACGTCTATGCGGGATGGGTCCTTCCTGTAGCCCCAGGCACCCAGGTGTGGTAGGAGCCTTAGAAAGAAGAAATGGGGAGAATCTTCTGAGCACAGGGAGGGAGGGGCAGCTCAACATACTCCTCTCTGAGGCGGCATCTCCTTCTCCCCAAGGTGGTCAGGACAAGCCCTTCTGCTCTGCCTGGCCCAGCGCTGTGGTGCCTCAAGGAGGACACGTGACTCTTCGGTGTCACTGTCGTCGTGGGTTTAACATCTTCACGCTGTACAAGAAAGATGGGGTCCCTGTCCCTGAGCTCTACAACAGAATATTCTGGAACAGTTTCCTCATTAGCCCTGTGACCCCAGCACACGCAGGGACCTACAGATGTCGAGGTTTTCACCCGCACTCCCCCACTGAGTGGTCGGCACCCAGCAACCCCCTGGTGATCATGGTCACAGGTCAGAGGGCTCCTGTCTGGGCTTCTCCTTGTCCCACCTCCTGAGTCCCAGAGCTTCTGGTGGGGGTGTCCACCAGAGTCCGATCATCCAGGCCCCAACTATATTTGGGGTAAAGGGGGATTGAATACAGGGGAATGGGTGCTGTGTTGGAAAGAATAACTGTCCCCATCGATGGCCACATTGTAATCCTTGGAGCCTGTGACTATGTTATAGGGCAGGGGACTGAAGGGGAAGATGGAGCTCAGGTTGTTGATGAGTTGACCTTGAGATGGGGAGATGGCCTGGACCCTCCCACTGGGCTCAGTGTAATCACAAGGGTCCATATGAGTGGAGAAGGAAGAGGAGAATGGGGATTAGAGCAGCATCGTGGGATACTCCACCAGCCACTGTGGGCTTTGAAGGTGGAGGAAGACCACGAGCCACGAAGGGGCTGGAGAAATCAATGGAACTGATTCTCCCGAGTCTCCAGAGGGAATGCAGCCCTGCAGATGCCTTGATTGTAGCCCAGGAAGAACAGGGTCTGATTTCTGTCTCCAGAAGTGGAAGGGGTCAGTGTGTTCTCTCCTGCCGCCATGTTTGTGATAATTTTCTCCAGCAACATCAGGAAACCAACACAGGAACCCAGGTGAAGGACAAGTTAAAAAACCAAACAAGAAGGTTGGCTACCCTGAGATCAGCAAGGGTGCACTGCTGATGCCACCACCAGGCTGGAACCACATAGGGAGGGATCGACAGGAAGAGTTGGGGGTGGAGGGTGAGAGAGAGAGAGAGAGAGAGAGCACTAGGCCATAGAGCAGGGCAGTGAGTTCTCAGCTCAGGTGGGAGGGGAGCTGTGACAAGGAAGAACCTCCCTGAGGAAACTGCCTCTTCTCCTTCCAGGTCTATATGAGAAACCTTCGCTTACAGCCCGGCCGGGCCCCACGGTTCGCGCAGGAGAGAACGTGACCTTGTCCTGCAGCTCCCAGAGCTCCTTTGACATCTACCATCTATCCAGGGAGGGGGAAGCCCATGAACTTAGGCTCCCTGCAGTGCCCAGCATCAATGGAACATTCCAGGCCGACTTCCCTCTGGGTCCTGCCACCCACGGAGAGACCTACAGATGCTTCGGCTCTTTCCATGGATCTCCCTACGAGTGGTCAGACCCGAGTGACCCACTGCCTGTTTCTGTCACAGGTGAGGAAAGCCAATGTCTGTCCCATGTCCTATGGTCCTAGAGCCTTAGCTGAGGAGCTTCCTGCTGATGATGGAGAGAAGCATGGACAGATGTGGAGAGAAGATGCAGCATGGTGTGAGGGTGGGATCAGGGCACAGGATGGCAGACAGGGCACCTCCAAACCCTCCTGCATGGCCTGCATGGAAGCTTGCAGTAAGGGCTCCGGGTACCCAGGCAGATGGAGAAAGTGGTCAGGACAGACCCAGAGGAGGGAGACTGGGCTCAGTTTGGGGAGATCAGAGGTTCCCTCAGCCCCTCAACCTTACCCATTTCCCAGAAGCCCACCCTGGCCTCTCACCTACACAGAGATGTCATCACCAGCAACCCCTACACTTTTTCTTTTCCTTTGAAAAAATGCTGATTGAGGTTAAATATACCTATATAATTTATCAACTTTACCATTTTTAAGTGTAAAATCTAGGGATCATAAATACCTTTATATGCTGTGTGCGGTGGCTCACGCCTGTAATCTCAGCATTTTGAGACGCCAAGGCAGGTGGATCATTTAAAATCAGGGGCTGGAGACCAGCCCGGCCAACATGGGGGAACCAATCTTTACTAAAAAGACAAAAAAAATAAAATTAGCCAGGCATGGTGCCAGGCGCCTATAATCCCAGCAACTTGGGAGGCTGAGGCGGGAGAGTGGCTTAAACCCAGGAGGAGGAGGTTGCAGTGAGCTGAGATCATGCCACTGCACTGCAGCCTGGTGACACAGAGAGACTCTGTCTCTAAATAAATAAATAAATACTTTTATATTCTTCTTTTGTTACCCTCCACCCCTTCCTTCCTAACCTCTGGTATCCACCATTCTACTCTCTACCTTCATGAGGTCCACCTTTTACATCCTGCATGTGAGTAAGAAATGGCAATCCTTGTAATGACCTCCAGTCCATCCATGTGGCTGCAAATGACAGGACGTTTCTCTTTGTATGGATGAGTTGTCTCCATTGTGTGTATGTACTACATTCTCTCTATCCATTCATCCACTGATGGGCAGGTAGGTTGACTCCACATCTTGGCTACTGTGAACAGTGCTGGAACAGTCATGGGAGTGCAGATGTCACTTCAATACACTGAAGTCCTTTTCTTTGCATTTACACCCACTAGTGGAATTGCTAGATCCTCTGGATGTTCTCTTTTTAGGTTTTGTTTTATGCTTTTTGTTTTTTTGACATAGCGTTTCACTCTTGTTGCCCAAGCTGGAGTGCAATGGCACCACCTGGGCTCACTGCAACCTCTACCTCCAGGATTCAAGTGATTCTCCAGCCTCAGCCTCCCGAGTAGTTGGGATTACTGGTGCCCGCCACCACGCCTGGCTGATTTTTGTATTTTTAGTAGAGACGGGGTTTCACCATGTTAGCCAGGCTGGTCTCGAACTCTTGACCTCCAGTGATCTGCCCACTTCAGCCTCCCAAGGTGCTGGGATTACAAGCGTGAGCCACAGTGCCTAATCTCTTTTTAGTTTTTAAGGAACTTCCATATTCTTCTCCTCTGTAATGGCTGTATTAATTTACATTCCTATCAACAGTGTATCAGGGTTCTCCTTTCTCCACCACCTTGCCAACATTTGTTTTGTCTGTCTCTGAGATAAAACCCATTGTAATGGGGTGAGATGATAGCTCATTGTGACTTCATTTGCATTTCTCTGATGATTAGTGATACTGAGCACTTTTTCATATATGCAATGTATATATGTTCATTTGTATGTTTTGTTCATTGAGAAATGTCTGTTCAGGTCTTTTACTAATTTTATAATTAAATTATTAGTTTTATTGAGGTGTTTGAGCTTCTTTTATATTCTAGTTATTAATCCCATCTCAGATGCATAGTTTGCAAATATTTGCTCCCATTCTGTGGGTTGTCTCTTCTTCACTTCATTGGTTGCTTCCTTTGCGGTGCAGAAGCTGCTTGATTTGATATAATCCCAATGGTCTATTTTTTTGTTGTTGTTGTGATTACTTGTGTTTTTGAGGTTTTAAACAAAATGTCTTCCCTCAGACAAATGTCCTGGAGCATTTCTCCAGTGTTTCCTTTTAGACATTTAATGGATTCAGGTCTTAAGTCATTAATCCATTTTCATCTGATTTTTGTGTATGGTGAGAGGTAGAGGTGCAGTTTCATCCCTCTGCATGTAGATATCCAGTTTTCCCTGCACCATTTATTGAAATGACTGTCCTTTCCAGATTGTAGATTCTTCGAACCTTTGTCAAAGTCCATTGGATGTAAATGGGTGGATTACATCCGTGTTCTTCATTCTGCTCCATTGTTTTATGTGCTTTTCTTTATGCCAATGTCATGTTGTTTTGCTTACTACAGCTCTGTAACATATTTTTAAGTCAGGTAGTGTGATGCTCCTGTTTTCTCCTTATACCTTGAAGTCTCAAGATAGTTGGTGTCACCTACAATGATTATGGAGAATGGGATGCCAGGACTCCCAGGGCCCAACATTAGATAATAGAATGTTGGCCATGAACCAACCTCAAAGATTTCCATTGAGTAGAAGACAGGCATCCTCATTGCCACACCTCTCTCCTGTCCCATGTTCTAGGAAACCCTTCTAGTAGTTGGCCTTCACCCACTGAACCAAGCTTCAAAACTGGTAAGTGAAGGACCCCTCTTATCTCTGCTTTTGGAAACCTGGGGAGGTAGAAGCCTTGGATTCAAGCGTTGGCTCAGCACCTGCCAGCTCTGTGATTGTGGGCCTGTCTTCCATTGTCTCTGAACCCCAGACACTCCAACAGCGAAAGGGATCTGGGCCCAGCACAGGGCTCAGTGAAATCTCTTAATCTCTAATTTTCTGCTGCTGAGACCTCAGGGTAGAAGGATGAGTGCAAATCAGACATTCTTCTCAGGAAAAATGCTGTGTTTGTTCTGCCTGCATTCCTAACTGGGAGGACAAATGCCTGGGGGCTTGAGAAGGGGAAGGACGGGGAACATTTTTGAGGGTGGTGTATTTGTAGAGAAGTTCTACTTGCCAAGGAATGAGCTCCTGTCTGTCATGATCCAACCCTGGTTGACTTAGTGGAACAAGAGCTTTGCGGTAAGAGAGAACGTAGTTCATCCGTGCACATGACACTTCCACTTACTCGTTCAGCCACTGCCCCATGCTCAGACTGTGCAGTGTGGAACCTTTTCCTATGTTGCCATAACAAATTTCCACAAGCTTCGTGGATGGAAACCACATTTTAAAAAAATATCTCATGGTGCTGTAGCTCAGAAGTATGAAATGCATCATCTCACTGGGCTAAAATCAAGGTGACAGCAAGGCTGCCTTCCCTCTGAATGTTCCAGGCAAGAATCTGCTTCCTCACTTTTCCCAGCTCCTAGAGGCTCCCACATTCCTTGGCTCCTGGTCCCCGTCTTCCTCCCTCAAAGTCCACAAAGGCTGGTCACGCCTCTCACACGGCATCACTCAGACCCTTCTTCCTTGTCCACACCTCTTTCTCTGAATGCTGCTCTGCCTTCTTCCTCATCTTTTAAGGACTTTGGCATTCTATTGGAAACACCAAGATAATCCATCATAATTTCCCTAAAATCATCTAGGATACCCTCCTTTTAAGGTTAGCTGATTAGCAACCGTAATTCCATCTGCAATCTGCATTCCTTTTTTCCATGTAAAATAACATATTCACAAGATATGGCGACTAGGACAGGAACATTTTGGGGTGGGGCGGCATTCTTATCCTTTCCACAAATGGTAAACAAGGTGCATTTGGCCTCTGCTCTTGGACACTGATATTGCAAAGGATTAAATGGGAGGGCAGAAAATGAATGCACCAGTGGACCAATAAATGAATGATCCATTGGGAAGCATCTGTGCATGAGAATGATTGATTGATTGGTTGTTTTTATGAGACGGTGTCTCCCTCTGTGCCCCAGGCTGGAGTGCAGTGGCGGGATCTCGGCTCACCGCAACCTCCACCTCCCAGGTTAAAGCGATTCTCTACACTCAGCTTCCCGAGAGGCTGGGATTACACCCATGTCCCACCACGCCTGGCTAATTTTTTTTTGGTATTTTTTTTTTAGTACAGACAAGGTTTTACCATGTTGCCCAGGCTATCTCAAACTCCCAACCTTAAGGGATCCGCCCGTCTCAGCCTCCCAAAGTGCTGAGATTCGAGGCGTGAGCCAAGGCGCCGAGCCGTATTTTAAAAGAAATAATAGATAATGCTGAGTGTATAATTTCGGGTGACAGAGAAGTTCTCACTGATCAAATAATACTTGTGACCTTAATGAAAAAAATAGATCAACCCCTGGAAGATTGGCGGAAGGATTTTCCACACAGCTGTCAGCCGTGAAGGCACAAAGGTGAAAACAATGTTATGTGGAAGGAAGAGGCTCTGCCTGAAATGCTGGGAATGAGATGGGGAGAATGACAAGACGACTGTGGAGAGACAGAGAGCACTCTGGGTACACAGGAAACTAAGGAGGAACAAGGAGCGTGTGTTTGACACTCACAGCCATTGGACTTACCTCGGGGCTAACTGGGAATCCCTACATGATGAATAGTGACTGACATGAAAATAAGGGAGGCCCAGGTGCATAACTGGAATCTAGGAGACTGTGGAAAAGGCAATTCCCGCCCCCCTGGTGAAATGTGGTGCTGATTTAGACACTAAATGAATGAAAGATGGACACAAGATGTGTTTGTGAGGTAGAGTAATTTGCAGGGAGGGCTTGCCTGCTTTGATTTTTCCTAATTGTTTAATCTTCACTTCATTGATTTCTTTCTGAGATTTATTTTTCCTACATGTAAATCAATACTTGGCAGAGGAGTGAGAGATACATGAGGGGTGGTGCAAAGGAAGAGACCTATTATAATATAACACACAAGGTTCTGAACGGTGGCTCACACCTGTAACCCAACATTTTGGGAGGCTGAGGAGGCTGGATCAAGTGAGATCAGGAGTTCGAGATCAGCCTGGACAACATGGTGAAACCCCATCTCTACTAAATATACAAAAACTAGCTGGGGGTGGTGGCGCATGCCTGTAATACCAGCTATTCGGGAAGTTGAAGAAGGAGAATGGCTTCAACCAGGGAGGGAGAGGTTACAGTGAGCCAAGATCGCGTCATTGCACTGCACCCTAGGTGACAGAGTGAGACTCCATGGCAAAAAATAAAAATAAAGAATACATAAATATAATATAACATACACGAATGACAAAGGCACACCAATTCCAATCATCATTTTTCTATTTCTCTATAATGACTTCTTTGATCCTTTATCCTATCCATAAGAAAATCAGGCGAAAACATCTTCCTTATTTGGCTTTCTGTGAGCATGAGATCATATGGAAAATGTGAAACCCACCAGCGCAGGTCCTGGAATAGAGAACGTGATCTGTTCATGGCACAAAACTTGCCCCTTCACCCAAATCCCCCACCTCACCCCTACTTCCAATCACATTAATGATACAGATAGATCATGGGGAGGTAAAAACTAATATTCTTTGGAGTTCAGATCGTAGACTCAGAGACCAGTGCCAGCACTATCTCCTGGTCACCTTTTGGAGTAATTCACAGAAAGACAGGCTGTATTGAAGCAACAGATGATGGAGGGGGTGGTCTTTCCCCCAGACTCTCGGGTGGAACAGCAGCCTAATATCTGACTCCCAAGATGACAAAAGTAGCATGTTGCCCACGAGCTTCATCATTATTTCCTGGCTGTTTGATATAAGACAGCTCAACCTCACTTATGTTGATTTCAATGTCACTGTTTTTTCCTTTTCTTGGAGAATGTAATTTGTTTGAGTCAAGAGGGTTGTGGATGTAGAAACTGTAAAGCACATTCACTGTGTATCAATCCCAGTCCAGTCTTCCCAGAGAAGACTCTAAACACCTCCCATACTGCACCTGGGGCTGTGCCAATTTCTATCACTCACCATCACTCCAGGGAGACAGAACACACAGGGAATACATTACATAGGCAGGTTCATTACTTATAGATAAGCAGCGAGTGACAACAGAAACCTTCCTTTCAGGGTGAGCCAGTCCCTCAAGGCTCAGAAAAACTGCTCAGGACACATGGAGTCACTTCATGTGCACTGTAGCTGGGGGAAGCCAGAAAGCAGCCCAGCCTGGGTTTTGTACCCTGGAGCCACAGGGAACACTCAGCTAAAGCACTGCATGATGTTCTCCTCCAGGAAGAACAGGAAGACAGCCCAGGCTGTTCTGAGACGTTCCTCCTGATCTCAGGATGTTGCTGTCTTAGCCTATTTTTGTTGCTATAAAAGAACACTTGAGCCTGGGTATCTTCTAAAGAAAAGAGATGTGTTTGGCTCACTGATCTGCACGCTGTACTAGAAGCAGGACACTACCATCTATTTCTGGCTGCGGCCTCAGGCTGCTCCCACACTGACAGAAGAGAAGGGGGTCCTGCGTGTGCAGAGACCACAGAGATCACATGGCAAGAGAGGGAGAAAGGGGGTGTGATGGAGCTTCCAAGCTCTTTTTAAGAATCAACTCTCCAGGGTACTAATAGAGGGAGAACTTGCTAACCCCGTCCTCTGGGGACAGCATTAATCTATTCATGATGGATCCACCCCCATGACCAAAACACCCCTCCCAATAGGCACAACCTCCCACACTGGGGATTAAATTTCAAAGTGGGGTTTGGAGGGGTCAAACATTGAAACAATAGCAGTTGTATCATCAGCACATTCTATTGTTATTATGAAAACTATAACGGAGAAAGCAGGAGAAAGCTGGGTCTCCCGCCTCGTGGGTGCTTGTCCTAAAGAGGTGTTTTATGTGGTTGCCTGGCAACCAAGAAATGAGAGACAATCCACAAAGAGGAACTGCTATGGTTAGCTTCTTATTGGATTCTCATCTTCCTCCAGGTATCGCCAGACACCTGCATGCTGTGATTAGGTACTCAGTGGCCATCATCCTCTTCACCATCCTTCCCTTCTTTCTCCTTCATCGCTGGTGCTCCAAAAAAAAAAGTAAGCCTCACGAAGCAGAGGCCAGAGAACTCAGGGCCCTGTGCGGAAGCAGGATGGGAGCACGCAGGTGTGTGTTCCTCACTGGCAGGAAAGTCTCTGGCCCAAGGCAGGAGCCAGAGGCAGAGCTTTCTAGAGAGAGCACCAGACAACCTGCCCCTGCCTTCAGCTCACAGACCATTGCCTGATTGTGAACTGTATCCTCACGTCCCCTGCAGCCACTCACATCCAGGAGAAGATTCCATGACAGGCAGAAAGTGGGAGATAGAATCAATGGGATGGGAACTGACAGCTATTCATGGAATGGGGTCTTGCACTCAGAGAGATGGAATGTCTGAGTCTGGCTGTTGGCAGCTGAGGGACCTCAGGCACCTATGGCCTCCCCCTGTGTGTTGGTATCTGTTCATGAAATGAGGACCCAGAAGTGCCCTCCCAGCTGTTTCGATTGCTTCCGTCTCCTACAGATGCTGCTGTAATGAACCAAGAGCCTGCGGGACACAGAACAGTGAACAGGGAGGTAGGTCCTCCTAGCCCAGCCTCATGGATACAGTCTTATTCCCTAATAGTCCTGAAAAATGTGAACACCCTCCCTCACTCAGGATTTCCCTCTCTCCAGGACTCTGATGAACAAGACCCTCAGGAGGTGACATACGCACAGTTGGATCACTGCATTTTCACACAGAGAAAAATCACTGGCCCTTCTCAGAGGAGCAAGAGACCCTCAACAGATACCAGCGTGTGTATAGAACTTCCAAATGCTGAGCCCAGAGCGTTGTCTCCTGCCCATGAGCACCACAGTCAGGCCTTGATGGGATCTTCTAGGGAGACAACAGCCCTGTCTCAAACCCAGCTTGCCAGCTCTAATGTACCAGCAGCTGGAATCTGAAGGCGTGAGTCTCCATCTTAGAGCATCACTCTTCCTCACACCACAAATCTGGTGCCTGTCTCTTGCTTACCAATGTCTAAGGTCCCCACTGCCTGCTGCAGAGAAAACACACTCCTTTGCTTAGCCCACAATTCTCTATTTCACTTGACCCCTGCCCACCTCTCCAACCTAACTGGCTTACTTCCTAGTCTACTTGAGGCTGCAATCACACTGAGGAACTCACAATTCCAAACATACAAGAGGCTCTCTCTTAACACGGCACTTAGACACGTGCTGTTCCACCTTCCCTCGTGCTGTTCCACCTTTCCTCAGACTATTTTTCAGCCTTCTGGCATCAGCAAACCTTATAAAATTTTTTTGATTTCAGTGTAGTTCTCTCCTCTTCAAATAAACATGTCTGCCTTCATTCTTTAGGTGACTCTTTTTTTGGCTGAAAGTTTCCAGTGTTATCATTACCATGTCCAAATAACTCCAACTGTTCTCCACTGGGTTCTCACCCCTGGACTCTGAGCTTCTGGAAGCAGGGTGGAGCCTCATTTGTCTCTGAGACTCCAATTTCCATCCAAAGATGCAGCACATAAGAGGTTCCAAGGATCGTGAATCACATGAACAAGTGATATTCTTACTCTCTGCAGACCTGGAAAGCTGGCAGAGTCATTCCATGATGAAACATTTGTAGAGTCATAGGCCTTGTTAGTCTCATCTCCACGGGGACACATATCAACACATCATCTTTCATACTATAAATATACAGTCGGTCCTCTGTATCTGTGGGATTTACAGGTGTTTATTGAACCAAATATAAATCAAAAATATTCAGAGAAAAAATCCACAAAGTTTCAAAAAGCAAAACTATGTTGAATGGACACAAATGAAGCTGTGTGTAGGCTGTATCAGGAATTATAAATAATCAAGGGATGATTTCATGTACACAGGAGGATGTGCATGGGTTATTTGCAAATGCTGTGCCATTTCATGTAAGAGGCTTGAGCATCTGCAGATTGTGCTATCTGAGTGGAGATCCTGAGACCAATCACCCACGAATAATGAGGGATGACTGTATATAATTTTTATTTCTCAATTTTAAATATAAAACATAAAAAAATTACAATAACAAGATAAAATAAACAAGTGTTTTATAGTGTGAGAATACTTTTAGATATATTTTTCTCCATGTGTAACCCTTGGGCCCATGTTATTTATTGAGAAGACATTCTATTCCACCTTAAACCACATGGCAGCCTTTGTCAACTATAAAGGGACTGTGTGTACACGGATGTATTTTAGACACTGTTTTCTGCTCAGTGGCTCTCTCTCTGTCCACTCTCTTGAGAATGCTGCATTTTATGCAGCCTTATACAACCCCTAAAATTTGGTAGCTGGAGTCCTCTAGTTATTTATTATAGGCTATTTGCTATGCTTTTTTTATTTTTCTTGAGGCAGAGTCTCGCTCTGTTGCCCAGGCTGGAGTGCAGTGGCACGATCTCGGCTCACTGCAACTTCTGCCTCCCAGGTTCAAGGGATTCCGTGCCTCAGCCTCTTGAATAGCTGGCATTACAAGTGCCTGCTACCAGGCATGGCTAATTTTTGTATTTTTAGCAGAGACATGGTTTCACTATATTGGCCAGGCTGGTCTCAAACTCCTGACCTCGGTTGATCACTCACCTCGGCTTCCAAAGTGCTGGGGAAATTGATTTTCTATAGCATTATGTTACTGGATATTTCTGTAAAATTTAAAATGAGGGAGGCAGAGAGACAGAGAGAGAGCAAACCATGAGTTGGAACTCTGGAATCTTGGGACATGAGACAAATTCTAGATAAATCTACAAAAATCCAGAATTTACATGTTGTGATTTTTGCTGATAAAGTACAATTCTAAGATTGTAAATAATTGCATAATCCTTCCCTGGGAGTTTAAATCATTTGAACTGGTTCTGCTGTAATACTAGAAATACAATCATGAAAAATTCTAATGGTTTATTAGTCACAATTGCTCTGAAAACCTTAATAATACCTATTAGATATTTTGCATATTACACAGGAAGAAGAGTTTGAATCTCAGATAAAAGCAATAAAAATACATGAAAAGTCTTTCATGTTAGCACAGATTTTAGGCATCTCGTGTTCAGGAGGTTGGATCTGAGACGTGTTTTGAGTTGGTCATAGTGAAGGACGCGAGGTGTCAATTCTAGTGAGAGCAATTTCCAGGAAGCCATGCTCCGCTCTTGAGCGAGCACCCACTGGGCCTCATGCAAGGTAGAAAGAGCCTGCGTACGTCACCCTCCCATGATGTGGTCAACATGTAAACTGCATGGGCAGGGCGCCAAATAACATCCTGTGCGCTGCTGAGCTGAGCTGGGGCGCAGCCGCCTGTCTGCACCGGCAGCACCATGTTGCTCATGGTCGTCAGCATGGCGTGTGTTGGTGAGTCCTGGAAGGGAATCGAGGGAGGGAGTGCGGGGATGGAGATCTGGA
This sequence comes from Homo sapiens, assembly GCF_000001405.40. Taxonomy (NCBI): domain Eukaryota; kingdom Metazoa; phylum Chordata; class Mammalia; order Primates; family Hominidae; genus Homo; species Homo sapiens. The sequence continues at coordinate 118,213 of NW_016107304.1, forward strand.
CCTGGAGGTAAAGATATGGGCCTAGAGGTGGAGTTATGGGCCTGGAGGTGGAGTTATGGGCCTGAAGTGGAGATCTGGGCCTGGAGTGGAGATCTGGGCCTGGAGTGGAGATAGGGGCCTGGGGTGGAGATATGTGCCTGGAGTGGAGATCTGGGCCTGGAGTGGAGATATGGGCCTGGGGTGGAGATATGTGCCTGGGGTGGAGATATGGGCCTGGAGGGGAGATATGGGCCTGGAGGGGAGATGTGGGCCTAGAGGTGGAGTGATGGGCCTAGAAGTGGAGCGATGGGCCTGGAGTGGAGATATGGGCCTGGAGGTGGAGTTATGGGCCTGCAGTAGAGATATGGGCCTGAAGTGGAGATATGGGCCTGGAGTGGAGATATGGGCCTAGAGGTGGAGTTATGGGCCCGGAGGTGGAGTTAAGGGCATGAAGTGGAGATCTGGGCCTGGAGTGGAGATATGATCCTGGAGTGGAGATATGGGCCTGGGGTGGAGATACGGGCCTGGAGCAGACATACAAGCCTGGAAAGGAGATATGGGCCTGGAGAGGAGATAGAAGCCTGGAGTGGAAATATGGGCCTGGAGTGGAGATATGAGCCTGGAGTGGATATATGAGCCTGGAGTTGAGATAGGAGCCTGGAGTGGAGATATGGGCCTGGAGTGGACTTATCAGCCTGGAGAGGAGATATGGGTCTGGAGTGGAGATACGGACCTGGAGTGGAGATCTGGGCCTGTTGTGTAGATCTAGGCCTGGAGGTAGAGATCTGGGCCTGGAGGCTGAGTCTCTGCACAGCCGAGATCCTTGTTCCTGGGGGCAGGTAGGCAGCGAGGGTGAGTTTACCTTCAGCCCAGCAAGGGCCTGGCTGCCAAGACGCACAACCCAGTGGGGGCAGCAGGGTGCCCTGGTTTGCCTGCAGATGGATGGTCCATCATGATCTTTCTTTCTAGGGTTGTTCTTGGTCCAGAGGGCCGGTCCACACATGGGTGAGTCCTTCCCCAAACCTTAGGGTGTCATCTCCCCACATAAGAGGATTTTCCTGAAATGGGAGGGAAGTCCTGTCGGGGAGTCTCTCATACACTAGGAAGAGGGGACCCTCGGATGCTCGGCCCACATTTCTGACCTTGCCCTCCCCGGCCTTTCTTTCCCTTTCCTGAGTCAAGCTCTGTGAAGACTGGGGTGAGACTAGGGTGCTCCAAGATGGGTGTGCAGGGAGGAAGTGGTGTCAGCAGCAGAGAAAGAGAGGGAAGCAGTGCTAGGAACAGCAGGTCCTCTGAGGACAAAGGTGTAACTCACACCCTCCAGCGTTTCCGTGATGGTAGGGGCTGCAGTGTGGCTGCGGTCTTTCTACCAGAAAAGGTGAGGAAACCACAGCCATGGCCCTGACATTCCAAATCCTCTGATGGGGGCTCAGTTCATCAATTGGCTGATATTCCATTCACATAGGACTTGCCCTCCATGCCGTGTCTACTTTGTATTGTTTTATATGAGTAATTTTGCAGTATTAAAATCTAGTAAGAGTTGCTTCTCCAGCACTTGCTCAAAGTTCTCAGCTGACACTTGTTGTAGGGAGACGCCATGTCTATGCAGGATGGGTCCTTCCTGTAGCCCTGGGCACCCAGGTGTGGTAGGAGCCTTAGAAAGTGGAAATGGGGAGAATCTTCTGGGCACTGGGAGTGAGGGGCGGCTCCACATCCTCCTCTCTAAGGCAGTGCCTCCTTCTCCCCCAGGTGGTCAGGACAAGCCCTTCCTGTCTGCCTGGCCCAGCGCTGTGGTGCCTCGCGGAGGACACGTGACTCTTCGGTGTCACTATCGTCATAGGTTTAACAATTTCATGCTATACAAAGAAGACAGAATCCACGTTCCCATCTTCCATGGCAGAATATTCCAGGAGGGCTTCAACATGAGCCCTGTGACCACAGCACATGCAGGGAACTACACATGTCGGGGTTCACACCCACACTCCCCCACTGGGTGGTCGGCACCCAGCAACCCCATGGTGATCATGGTCACAGGTCAGAGGCTTTCCGTCTGGGCTTCTCACTGTCCCACCTCCTGAATCCCAGAGCTTCTGGTGGGGCTGTCCGTCAGGGTCCCATCACCCAGGCCCTGGCTGTATTTGGGGTCAAGGGAGATTGAATACAGGGCAAATGGGTGCTGTGGTGGGAAGAATAACTGTCCCCAATGATGGCTACATTGTAATCCCTGGAGCCTGTGACTATTTATGTTATAGGGCAGGGGACTGAAGGGGAAGGTGGAGCTCAGGTTGTTGATGAGTTGACCTTGAGATGGGGAGACAGCCTGGACTGTCCCACTGGGCTCAGTGTAATCACAAGGGTCCGCGTGAGAGGTGGAGGAAGAGGGGAGTGGGGATTAGAGCAGTGTAGTGGGAGGGAGACGCTATCAGCCACTGCGGGCTTTGAAAGTGGAGGAAGACCACTAGTCACAGAATGCAGGTGGCCTCTAAGGGCTGGAGAAGTCAGGAGAACTGATTCGCTGATTCTCCAGAGGGAACGCAGCCCTGTAGACGCCTTGATTTCAGCACAGGGAGAACTGGATCCAATTTCTGTCTCCAGAAGTGGAAGGGGTCAGTGTGTTCTCTCCTGCTGCCATGTTTGTGGTAATTTTCTGCAGCAGCAACAGGAAACCAACACAGGAACCCAGGTCAAGGACAAGTTAGGAACCCAGGTCAAGGACAAGTTAGGAAACCAAACAAGGACAGCCAGGTGTGGTGGTGGGCGCGAGTAATCCAACGACTGGGGAGGCTGAGGCAAGAGAATCACTTGAACTGGGGAGGCAGAGGTTTCAGTGAGCCAAGACAACACCACTACACTCCAGCCTGGGTGAAAAAGTGACTGTCTCAAAAATAAATTAATTAATCAATTAATTAAAGAAACCAAACAAGGAGAAGGTTGGCTACCCTGAGATCAGCAAGGGCAGGATGCTGATGTTACCACCAGGCTCCATCCACATAGGAAGGGGTTGATGCTCCTGGAACCAGCACCAGGGGCCACCCTATGGAAGCTGGGGCCATGGAGAAGGCACAGACATGGCAGGAGAGGCTCCCAATCCCCATCAGGAACAGGGTGTGTGGTCACTGATGTCTGTCTTACTGATGAGTTGATACCACCTGCCAGAGACTCCAATTTGTTCAAAAGAGATTGATTCAGGCTGCTAAGAGCCTGGACATGCAGCCTGTCCTCTTCCACCCCCATATAAACAGCAGGAAAGAGATTAGTGGGAAACAGATACAACAGCCCAAGAGATGAGGCTGTCTTCACAGTGGCAAGGGAGTCAGGGGCTACTGGAGACAGAGGGACAGAGAAGAGGGAGGAAGACAGATGGAGGCACCTGCACCAGGGGATATGGGCACAGAAAAGACACGGAGATGCAGAGAGGGAGGAGAGAGACAGACACGGGGAGGGGAACCCTCACTCATTCCAGGTGCCATGGATGGGATGATAAAGAGAGATGCCTTCTAAACTCACAACTTCTCTTTCTAGGAAACCACAGAAAACCTTCCCTCCTGGCCCACCCAGGTCCCCTGGTGAAATCAGGAGAGAGAGTCATCCTGCAATGTTGGTCAGATATCATGTTTGAGCACTTCTTTCTGCACAAAGAGTGGATCTCTAAGGACCCCTCACGCCTCGTTGGACAGATCCATGATGGGGTCTCCAAGGCCAATTTCTCCATCGGTTCCATGATGCGTGCCCTTGCAGGGACCTACAGATGCTACGGTTCTGTTACTCACACCCCCTATCAGTTGTCAGCTCCCAGTGATCCCCTGGACATCGTGGTCACAGGTGAGAGTGTCTAGACATTGTTCTCATTGTCACTGGGACACAGAGTGAATGATCCAGGACTTGGAACCCCCAGGTGGTCATGAGGAAGATAAGTGTGGGATTCTTATGGAAAGAGAGTGACTTGGTGAGGTCTGTACCAACAGAGACAGAGAAACAGGAGACATAAGTACAGAACAGGTGTCATAACAGGGGACAGACACAGGGGCCATACAGGGAGGTAGAAAAGAGAGAAAGAGGTAAAGGAGACACTCAGACAGACAGACATGTCCCAGAGAGAGGTGTCCTTCCATGCTGACTTTGCTCAGAGACCTGGCACAGGTTAGAAGTTTCATTTCTGTTTTACCTCCACAAAGTGTTTCTACCAGAAGAACCCAAGGACACCCATATTTCTGACCTGAGTTGGGCCCTGTGGCCTCAGGCCTTGTGCCACCTACAGATGCCGTGTTTATTCTGACACCTCTGCCTTCCATGCAATGGAGAGTAATCATCCCAGGATATCATGGCCCCAGAACACCAACCCCTGTATGCTGTGTGAACTTGGGGTCCCCAGACTGGATTCTGAGGCTCATATTCCAAATAATCCCACATATGATAGGATCGCTGAGAGACACAGAGAAAAATCAGGGACACCAAAAAGCAAAGACATAAACACACACAAAATGAGCCAGAAGAAGGAGATTAAGAGATTCACAGACACATAAAAAGAAAGAAAAGAGGGCAGAGTGGAGAGAATGATGGAAAGGAGGAGAGAAAAGCCCCAAAATCAGAACCCTGAGGGAGGGACACAAAGACAGAGAAAGATAAAGATGTGGGGATGGATTGCAGAGATTCCAAATAGAACTAGAGAGACTGAGAGGCAGAGAAAGACAAGGAGACGGAGAGAGAGAGATGATAGATGGATAGATAGACGTAGATAGATGATAAATAGGTAGATGATAGATAATGGATTGGTTATAGATACATAGATGATGACTGATAGATGATACATAGAGATGATGATGATGACGATGATGATGATAGACACATAGATATATACATAGATGATACATAAATAGAGACAGAGAGGCAGACAGAGAGGTAATAGAGAGAGAGATAGATGATACATATATAGATAATAGATGATTGATGGATAGATAGACAGATAGACAATTGATAGAGAGATAGATAAGTGATACATAAATATAGATGATAGATAATTTGTAGATAGACACAAAATAGATAAATAGATAGATCGATAGATAATAGATAGAAATGTGCAGAAAGTTATGAACAAGACAGAAAGTGAGAGACTCAAAATTAAAGAAAAAGGAAGATCAAGTCAACCAATCCAAGGAGGGTCAGAGAGAATAAAACAATCCAAAAAGGGAAAACATACCTCAGGGTGGGGAAGTGAGGTCATAGACCTAGAGAGACAGAAAAGGTAGAAGGAGGAAACAGATATGAAGAGAGATGGGGTGGAGAGTGAGAGAGAGAGAGAGAGCATTAGGTCATAGAGCAGGGGAGTGAGTTCTCAGCTCAGGTGTGAGGGGAGCTGTGACAAGGAAGAACCTCCCTGAGGAAACTGCCTCTTCTCCTTCCAGGTCTATATGAGAAACCTTCTCTCTCAGCCCAGCCGGGCCCCAAGGTTCAGGCAGGAGAGAGCGTGACCTTGTCCTGTAGCTCCCGGAGCTCCTATGACATGTACCATCTATCCAGGGAGGGGGGAGCCCATGAACGTAGGCTCCCTGCAGTGCGCAAGGTCAACAGAACATTCCAGGCAGATTTCCCTCTGGGCCCTGCCACCCACGGAGGGACCTACAGATGCTTCGGCTCTTTCCGTCACTCTCCCTACGAGTGGTCAGACCCGAGTGACCCACTGCTTGTTTCTGTCACAGGTGAGAAAAGCCCATATCTCTCTCATGTCCTATGATCCTAAATCCTTAGCTAAGGAGCTTCCTGCTGATGATGGAGAAAAGCATGGACAGATGCAGAGAGAAGACACAGCAGGTGTGAGGGCGGAGTCAGGGCGCAGGATGGCAGACAGGGCACCTCCAAACCCTCCTTCATGGCCTGCATGGAGGCCTCCGATCAGGGCTCCAGGCACCCAGGCAGATGGAGAAAGCGGTCAGGACAGACCCAGAGAAGGGGAGACTGGGCTTAGTTTGGGGAGATCAGAGGTTCCCTCAGCCCCTCAATCTTACCCATTTCCCAGAAGCCCATCATGGCCTCTCACCCACACAGAGAGATATCATCACCAGCAACCCCTACACCCTTTTCTTTTCATTTTCAAAAATATTTATTGAGGTTAAATGTAACTATATAATTTACCACCTTTACCATTTTTAAAAGTAAAATCTAGTGGTCATAAATACCTTTATATGCTGGGCGTGGTGGTTCACAGTTGTAATCTCGGCGCTTTGAGAGGCCAAGGAAGGTGGATCATTTAAGATCAGGAACTCGAGATCACCCTGGCCAACATGTGGGAAATTCATCTTTACTAAACAGACAAGAAAAATTAGCCGAGCATGCTGGCATGCACCTGTAGTCCTAGCTACTTGGGAGGCTGAGGCAGGAGAAGCACTTAAAGCCAGGAGGCCGAGGTTGCACTGAGCCGAGATCATGCCACTGCACTGCAGCCTGGGAGACAGAGAGAGACTCTGTTTCTAAATAAATAAATACATCTATATTCTTTTTTTTGTTACCCTCCACCCTTCCCTTCCTGGCCTCTGGTGTCCACCATTGTATTCTCCACCTTCATGAGATCCACCTTTTATCTCCTGCATGTGGGTGAGAAATGGGAATCTTTGTAATGACCTCCAGTTCCATCCATGTGGCTGCAAATGACAGGATGTTATTGTTTCTATGGATGAGTAGTCTCCACTGTGTGTGTGTACCACAGTTCTCTATCCATTCACCCACTGATAGGCAGGTAGGTTGACTCCACATCTTGGCTACTGTGAACAGTGCTGGAACAGTCATATGAGTGCAGATATCACTTCGATACACTGATGTCCTTTCCTTTGGATATAAACCCAGTAGTGAAATTGCTGGATACTATGAAAGTTCTCTTTTTTTTTTTTTTCTTTTTTGAGAAAGAGTTTCCCTCCTTAGTCCAAGCTGGAGTCTAAGTGGTGAGATCTTGGCTCATTGCAACCTGTGCCTCCTAGGTTCAAATGATTGTCCTGACTCAGCCTCCCTAGTAGCTGTGATTACAGGTGCATGCCACCATGCCTGGCTAATTTTTGTATTTTTTTAGCACAGACGGGATATCCCAATTTTGGGCAGGCTGCTCTCAAACTCCTGACCTCAAGTGAGGTGCCTGCCTCGGTTTCCCAAAGTGCTGAAATTACAGGCATAAGCCACTATGCCCAGCCTCCTTTTAGTTTTTTAAAGAATTTCCATACTTTTCTCCATAATAGTTGTACTAATTTACATTCCTACCAACAGGGTACCAGGGTTCTCCTTTCTCTACCATCTTGCCAGCATTTGTTTTGCCTGTCTTGCAGATAAAAGCCATTTTACTTTACTTTATTTTATTTATTTATTTATGTTGAGATGGAGTTTCACTCATAGTCGCCCAGGCTGGAGTGCAAGGGTGTGATCTCAGCTCACTGCAACCTCCGCCTCCCGCGTTCAACTGATTCTCCTGCCTCAGCCTCCAAAGTAGCTGGGATTACAGGCGTGTGCCACCACGCCTAGCTAATTTTTGTATGTTTAGTAGAGAGGGAGTTTCTCCATGATGGTCAGGCTGGTCTCCCGACCTCAGGTGATCCGCCCACCTCCGCTTCCTGAAGTGCCGGAATTACAGGCGTGAGCCACCGGCCTAAAAGGCATTTTAATGGGATGAGATGAAAACTCATCGCGATTGTAATTTACATTTCTCTGATGATGAGTGATGCCGAGTACTTTTTCATATACGTGATCGCCATTTCTATGTTTTGTTTGTGGAGAAATGTCTCCTCATGTCTTTTGCTCGTTTTTTAATTAAATTGTTTTATTGAGTTGTTTGAGCTTCTTATATTTCCAGTTATTAATCCCGTCTCAGATGAATAGTTTGCAAATATTTGCTCCTATTTTGTGGGTTGTCTCTTCACTTTCTTGGTTTATCTTTTGTGGTGCAGAAGTTGCTTGGTTTGATGTAATCCTAATGGTCTATTTTTTGCTTTGATTACTTGTGTTTTGAAGGTTTTAAACAAAATGTCTTTCGTCAGACAAATGTCTTCCCCATTATTTTCTTCTACATGTTTCATAGGTTCAGGCCTTAGACTCATGTTTTTAATCCATTTTCATTTGATTTTTGTTTATGGTGACAGGTATAGATGCAGTTTTATTCCTCTGCATGTAGATATCCAGTTTTCCCCACACCATTTATTGAAAAGACTGTCCTTTCCTGATTGTGAGTTCTTGGCACCTTTGTCAAAGTCCATTAAATGGGCTGGGTATGGTGGCTCACACCTGCAATTCCAGCACTTTGGGAGGCCGAGGCGGGTGGATCACCTGAAGCCAGGAGTTCAAGACCAGGCTGGCCAACAGAGTGAAACCTCGTCTCTACTAAAAATACAAAAATTAGCTGAGCATGGTGACCAGTGCCTGTAATACCACTACTCGGGTGTTTGAGGCAAGAGAATTGCTTGAATCCAGGAAGTGGAGGTTGCATTGAGCTGAGATTGCACCTCTGCACTCCAGCCTGCATGACAGAGCAAGATTCCATCACACACACACAAAAAAAAGCCATTGGGTGTAAATGCATGGATCATATCCGTGTTCTCCATTCTGTTCCATTTTTTATGTGCCTTTCTTTATGCCAATGTCATGCTGTTTTGCTTACTACAGCTCTGTAACATATTTCTAAGTCAGGTAGTGTGATGCTCCTGTTTTCTCTTTATACCTTCAAGTCTCAAGACAGTGGGCATCGCACACAAAAATTATGGAGAAGAGGATCCCAAGACTCCCAGGGTCCAACATTAGATAACAGAGTGTTGGCCATGAACCAACCTCAAAGATTTCCATTGAGTAGAGGACAAGCACCCTCATTTCCTCACATCTCTCCTGTCCCATGTTCTAGGAAACCCTTCAAGTAGTTGGCCTTCACCCACAGAACCAAGCTCCAAATCTGGTGAGTAAAGGACCCCTCTTATCTCTGCTTTTGGAAACCTGGGGAGGTGGAAGCCTTGGATGCAAGCGTTGGCTCAAACCTCCCAGCTCTGTGAATGAGGGCCTGTCTTCCACCATCTCTGAACTCCAGACACTCCAACAGTGAAAGGGATCTAGGGCCACCAAAGGGCTCAGCGAAGTCTCTTAACCTTTAATGTCCTGCAGGTGAGACCTCCTACAAGCTAGAAGAATGATTGCCAATCTGACATCCTTCTCAGGAAAAATGCAGTGTTTTTTCTGCCTGCATTCCTAACTGGAGGATAAATTCCTGGGGACTTGAGAGAGGGAAGGGAAGGGAACATCTCATGAGGGTGGGTGTTTTAGAGAAGTTCCACTTGCCAAGGAATGAATTACTGTTGGTCATGAAGCAACCCTGGCTGACTCAGCAGAGCAAGAGCCTTGCCGTAACAGAGAACAGAGCTCATGCACGCACACTTCGACTCACTGACTCATTCAGCCACGGCCCCATGCTCAGGCTGTGCAGTTGGAATCCTTTCCTATTGTTGCCATAACAAATTTCCACAAGATTCGTGGGTGAAAATAAAGCGGCTTTTTAATTATCTTACAGTGCTGTAGCTCAAAGTATGAAGTGCATCTCACTGGGCTAAAAACAAGGTGACAGCAAGGCTGCCTTCCCTCTGAGGGTTCCAGGCAAGAATCTGCTTCTCACTTGTCCCAGCTTCTAAAGGCTCCCAGTTCCTTGGCTCCTGGTCCCCTTCCTCCTTCCTCAAAGCCCACAAAGACTGGTCACATCTCACATGGCATCACTCAGACCCTTCTTCCTTACCACACCTCTTTCTCTGAATGCTGCTCTCCCTTCTTCCTTATCTTTTGAAAACTTGGGGATTCTATTGGGTTCACCAAGATGAAAATCCATCATAATCTCCCGGAAATCATTCAGGATACCCTTGTTTTAAGTTCAGCTGACTAGCAACCGTAATTCCATCTGCAATCTTCATTCCTCCTTTCCATGTAAAATAACATATTCACAAGCTATGGAGGCCAGGACAGGGACATTTTGGGGTGGGACAGCATTCTCCTGCCTTCCACGAACGGTGAACAAGATGCATTTGGCCTCTGCTCTTGGGACACTGATATTGCAGATGGTTAAATGGGAGGGCAGAAAATGAATGCACAAGTGGACCAATAAATGAATGATCCATTGGGAAGCATCTGTGCATGAAATCTATTTGTTTGTTCGTTCATTTATTTATTGAGACAGAGTCTCCCTCTGTCTTCCAGGCTACAGTGCAGTGTCACGATCTTGGCTCACTGCAACCTGCGTCTCCTGGATCCAAGTGATTCTCCTGCCTCACCCTCTCGAGTAGCTGGGATTACAGGCAACTGCCACCATGCCCGGCTAACTCTTTTTGTATATTTTTTGTAGAGAGGATGTTTCACCATGTTGGCCAAGCTTGTCTGAAACTCCCAACCTCAAGTGATCCGACCATCTCAGCAACCCAAAGTACTGGGATTACAGGCGTGAGCCACTTTGCCCAGCCAGAATTCAAAATCAATAATAGATAATGCTGAGTGTATAATTTTGGGTGACAGAGAAGGTCTCACTAATCAGATATTTGTGACATTAATGAAAAACACGGATTGAACCCCTGAAAGATTGGCGGAAGGATTTTCCACACAGCTGTCAGCTGTGAAGGCACAAAGGTGAAAACAATCTGATGTTGAAGGAAGAGGCTCTGCCTCAAATGCTGGGAATGAAGTGGGGAGAATGACAAGACGACTGTAGAGAGACGGAGAGCACACTGGGTACACAGGAAACTAAGGAGCAACAAGGAGTGTGTGTTTGACACTCACAGCCATTGGATTCACCTCGGGGTAACCAGGAATCCCTACATGATTAATATGACTGACATGAAAATAAAGGAGGCCCAGGTGCGTAACTGGAATCTAGGAGACTGTGGAAAAGGCAATTGCCACCCCACTGGTGAAATGTGGTGCTGATTTAGACCCTAAGTGGATGAAGCAGATGGATATAAGCTATGCTTGGGAGGTAGAATCATTTGCAGGGAGGGCTTGCTGGGTTTGAGTTTCCTAGTTGTTTAATCCTTGCTAAATTAATTTCTTTCTGAGATTTATTCCTCCTACACATAAATCAATACCTGGCAAAGGAGTGACAGATATATGAGGGGTGGTGGAAATGAAGGGACCTATTATAGCATAGTATACAAGTCTGTGAACGGTGGCTCACTCCTGTAACCCAGCACTGCAGGAGGCTAAGGCCAGTGGATTCCAAGAAATCAGGAGTTCGAGACCAGCCTGGCCAACATGGTGAAACCCTATCTCTACATGGTGAAACCCTATCTCTCCTAAAAATACAAAAATTAGCCGAGCATGGTGGTGCATCCCTGTGATCCCAGCTCCTGCTCTGGAGGATGAAGCAGGAGAATGACTTCAACCCAGGAGGTGGAGGTTGCAGTGAGTGGAGATCGCATCACTGCACTCCAGCCTGGGTGACACAAGGAGACTCCGTCTCAAAAAATAAAAATAAGAAATGCATAAATATAATAAAACACACACGAACGACAAAGGCACCTGAATTCCCATCATCATTTTTCTATTTCTCTATAATTACTTCTTTGATTCTTTATCTTATCCATTAGACAATCAGCCTAAAACCTCTTCCGTATTTGGCTTTCTGTGAGCATGAGATCATATAGAAAATGTGAAAGCCCGCTGAATCCTCCAGCACAAATCCTGGAATAGAGAAAGTGCTCTGGTCATCACAAAAAAAACTTGCCCCCTCACCCAAATCCCCCACCTCACCCCTACTTCCAATCACCTGTGCAGATACAGATAGACCATGGGGAGGTAAATGCTAATACTCCTTGGAGTGAGTCCAGATCTTGGAATCAGAGATCAGTGCCAGCACTAGCTCCTGCTCCCCTTTCCTACTAATTCACAGGAGGACAGGTGGTATTGAAGCAATAGATAGTCGAGGGGGTGGTCCTTCCCCCAGCCTGTCAGGTAGAACAGCAGCCTAACATGTGTCTCCCGAGATCACAAAGAATAGCACATTTCACACGGGCTTCAACACTATTTTCTGGCTGTTTGACATAAGAGAATTCTACTTCGCATTTTTGATCTTGATTTCACTTTTGTTTCCTTTTCTTGGAGAATGCAAGTTGTTTAACTCAAGAATGCCGTGGATGTAGAAATCCTAAAGCACATTCGCTGTGTATCAATCCCAGTCCAGTCTTCCCAGAGAAGACTCTAAACACCTCCTGGACTGCACCTGGGCCTATGCCAATTCCTATCACTCACCGTCACTCCAGGGAGACAGAACACACAGAGAACACATTACACAGGCAGGTTCATTACTAACAGATAAGCAGCGAGTGACAACAGAAGCCTACATTTCAATGTGAGCCAGTTCCCCAAGGCTCAGAAAAGCTGCTCGAGACATGTGGAGTCACCCCATTTGCAGTGTAGCTGGGGGAAGCCAGAAAGCAGCCCAACCTGGGTTTTGTACCCTGGAGCCACAGGAAGCACTCAGCTAAAGCACTGCATCACGTCCTCCTCCAGGAAGAACAGGAAGACAGCCCAGGCTGTTCTGGGACTTTCCTCCTGATCTCAGGACGTTGCTGTCTTAGTCCATTTTTGTTGCTCTAAAGGAACACTTGAGCCTGGGTAACTTCTAAACAAAAGATTTTGGTTTGCCTTACAGTTCCGCAGGCTGTACTGGAAGCATGGCACCAGCATCTATTTCTTGTGACTGCCTCAGGCTGCTCCCACTCTGGCAGAAGGGAAGGAGGGTCTGTCTGTGCAGAGACCACAGAGATCACACGGCAAGAGAGGGAGCAAGGGAGAGGGGGAGTGATGGAGCTTCCAAGCTCTTATGAACAACCAGCTCTCCAGGAACTAATAGAGGGAGAACTTGCTAACCCCGTCTCCTTAAAACAGCATTGATCTGTTCATGATGTATCCACCCCCATGACTCAAACACCTCCCAAGAGGCCCACCCTCCCACACTGGGGGGTAAATTTCAATCTGAGGTTTGAAGGGGTCAAACATCTCAACTAAAGTAGTGGTATCCTCAGCACGTTCTATGGTTACTATGAGAGCTATAACTGAGAAAGCAGGAGGAAGCTGGGTCTCCCGCCATCTGGGTGCTTGTCCTAAAGAGACGCTGTATGTGGTTACCTGTGAATCAAGAAATGCAAGACAATTCATAAAGAGGAACTGCTATGATTAGCTTCTTATTGGTGTCTCCTCTTCTTCCAGGTAACCTCAGACACCTGCACATTCTGATTGGGACCTCAGTGGTCAAAATCCCTTTCACCATCCTCCTCTTCTTTCTCCTTCATCGCTGGTGCTCCAACAAAAAAAAGTAAGTCTCACGAAGCAGAGGCCAGAGAGCTCAGGGCCATGTGGGGAAGCAGGATGGGAGCACACGGGTGTGTGTTCCTCACCAGCAGGATGGTCCCTGGCCCAAGACAGGAGCCACAGAGGCAGGACTTTCTAGAGAGAGCACCAGATTCCCTTCCCCTGCCTTCAGCTCACAGACCATTGCCTGATTCTGAACTGTATCCTCACGTCCCCTGCAGCCACTCACATCCAGGAGAAGGTTCCATGACAGGCAGAAAGTGGGAGATAGAATCAATGGAATGGGACCTCAGAGCTATTCATGGGATGGGTCCTTGAACTCAGAGAGATAGAATGTCTGAGTCTGCTGTTGGCAACTGAGGGACCTCAGGCACCTATGGCCTCCCCCTGTTTGTTGGTATCTGCTTATGAAATGAGGACCCAGAAGTGCCCTCCGAGCTCTTTTGTTGACTTCCGTCTTCTACAGATGCTGCTGTAATGGACCAAGAGCCTGCAGGGAACAGAAGTGAACAGCGAGGTAGGTGCTCCTCGGCCCAGCCTCGTGGCTAGTGTTATTCCCAAAGAGTCCTGAAAAATGTGAGCACCCTCCCTCACTCAGCATTTCCCTCTCTCCAGGATTCTGATGAACAAGACCATCAGGAGGTGTCATACGCATAATTGGAACACTGTGTTTTCACACAGAGAAAAATCACTCGCCCTTCTCAGAGGCCCAAGACACCCCCAACAGATACCAGCATGTACATAGAACTTCCAAATGCTGAGCCCAGATCCAAAGTTGTCTTCTGTCCACGAGCACCACAGTCAGGCCTTGAGGGGATCTTCTAGGGAGACAACAGCCCTGTCTCAAAACTGGGTTGCCAGCTCCCATGTACCAGCAGCTGGAATCTGAAGGCATCAGTCTTCATCTTAGGGCATCGCTCTTCCTCACACCACAAATCTGAATGTGCCTCTCACTTGCTTACAAATGTCTAAGGTCCCCACTGCCTGCTGGAGAAAAAACACACTCCTTTGCTTAGCCCACAGTTCTCCATTTCACTTGACCCCTGCCCACCTCTCCAACCTAACTGGCTTACTTCCTAGTCTACTTGAGGCTGCAATCACACTGAGGAACTCACAATTCCACACATACAAGAGGCTCCGTCTTAACGCAGCACTTAGACACGTGCTGTTCCACCTTCCCTCATGCTGTTCCACCTCCCCTCAGACTAGCTTTCAGCCTTCTGTCAGCAGTAAAACTTATATACTTTTTAAAATAACTTCAATGTAGTTTTCCATCCTTCAAATAAACATGTCTGCCCCCATGGTTTCGGTAATGGGACTCTTTTCTTGCCTAAGGCTTCCGGTGTTATCAGTACCATGTCCATATAATCCCATCTGTTCCCCACTGAGTTCTCATCCCTGGACTCTGATCTTCTGGAAGCAGGGTGGAGCCTCATTTGTCTCTGGGACTCCAATTTCCATCCAAAGATGTAGCACATAGGAGGTTCCAAGGATCGCGAATCACATGAACAAGTGATACTCTTACTCTCTGCAGACCTGGAAAGCTGGCAGAGTCATTCCACAATGAAACATTTGTAGAGTCATAGGCCTTGTTAGTCTCATCTCCATGGGGACACATATCAACACATCTTCTTTCATAATATAAATATACGGTCACTCCTCCATATCTGCGGGGTTTACAGGTGTTTATTGAACCAAGTATAAATCAAAAATATTGAGAGAAAGTATCCACAGAGTTTCAAAAAGCATAACTATGTTAAATGGACACAAATGAAGCTGTGTGTAGGCTGTATCAGGAATTATAGGTAATCTAGAGATGATTTCATGTATACAGGAGGATGTGCATAGGTTATTTGCAAATGCTGTGCCATTTCATATAAGAGGCTTGAGCATCTACAGATTTTGGTATCTGAGTGGAGATCTCAAAACCAATCACCCACGAATAGTGAAGGATGACCGTATATGACTTTTATTTCTCAAATTTAAATATAAATCATAAAAAATGTACAACTAGATAAAAACTAAGAAGTGTTTTTATAGTGTCAGTTAGATTTATTTTTTACTAGGTGTAACCCATTGGTTTAATATTATTTATTGAGAAGACATTCTATGCCACCTTAAACCACACAGCAGCCTTTGTCAACTCTAAAGGGATTGTGTGTACATGGATGTATTTTAGACACTGTTTCTGCTAAGGGGCTCTCTGTGTCCACACTCTTGATGACGCTGCACTTTATGTAGCCTTATAGAACCCTTTAAATTTAGTAGCCAGAGCCCTCTAATTTGTTATTATAGGCTATTTGCTTTTTTTTTCTTGAGGCGGAGTCTTGCTCTGTCGCCCAGGCTGGACTGCAGTGACACAATCTCAGCTCACTGCAACCTCCACCTCCCAGGTTCAAGCGATTCTCGTGCCTCAGCCTCTTGAGCAGCTGGCGTTACAGGTGCCTGCCACCAGGCACGGCTAATTTTTGGATTTTTAGCAGAGACACGGTTTCACTATGTTGACCAGGCTGCTCTCAAACTCCTTATCTCAGTTGATCCGCCCACCTCGGCTTCCCAACGTGCTGGGGAAAACTTGATTTTCTATAGCATTATGTTACTGGATATTTCTGTAAAATTTAAAACGAGGGAGGGAGAGAGACAGAGAGAGATCAAACTCCAGAGTTGGGACTCTGGAATCTTGGGTCATGAGACAAATTTTAGATTAAACTACAAAACTCCAGAATTTACAGGTGTGGTTTTTGCTGATAAAGTACAATTCTAAGATTGTAAATAATTGCATAATCCTTCCCTGGGAATTTAAATCATTTTAGCTGGTTCTGCTGTAATACTAGAAATACAAGCATGAAAAATTCTAATGGTTTATTAGTCACAATGACTCCGAAAACATTAATAATACCTATTAGATACTTTGCATATTACACAGGAAGAAGAGTTTGAATCTCAGATAAAAACAATAAAAATACATGAAAAGTCTTTCACGTTAGCACAGATTTTAGGCATCTTGTGTTCGGGAGGTTGGATCTGAGACGTGTTGTGAGTTGGTCATAGTGAAGGACGCGAGGTGCCAATTCTAGTGAGAACAATTTCCAGGAAGCCGTGTTCCGCTCTTGAGCAAGCACCCACTGGGCCTCATGCAAGGTAGAAAGAGCCTGCGTACGTCACCCTCCCGTGATGTGGTCAACATGTAAACTGCATGGGCAGGGCGCCAAATAACATCCTGTGCGCTGCTGAGCTGAGCTGGGGCGCGGCCGCCTGTCTGCACCGGCAGCACCATGTCGCTCATGGTCATCAGCATGGCGTGTGTTGGTGAGTCCTGGAAAGGAATAGAGGGAGGGAGTGCGGGGATGGAGATCTGGGCCCAGAGGTGGAGATATAGGCCTGGAGGTGGAGTTATGGGCCTGGAGTGGAGATCTGGGCCTGGAGTGGATATATGGGCCTGGAGATGGAGTGATGGGCCTAGAAGTGGAGATCTGGGTCTGGAGTGGAGATATGGGCCTGGAGGTGGAGATATGGGCCTGGAGTGGAGATCTGGGCCTGGAGTGGAGATAGGAACCCGGAGGGGAGATAGGAGCCTGGAGTGAAGATATTGGCCTGGGATGGAGATATGGGCCTGGAGTGGAGACATGGGCCTGGAGGTGGAGATATGGGCCTGGAGGTGGAGATATGGGCCTAGAGGTGGATATCTGGGCCTGGAGTGGACATATGGGCCTAGGATGGAGATATGGGCTTGGGGTGGAGATATGGGCCTGGATTGGAGATATGGGTCTAGGGTGGAAATATTGGCCTGGAGTGGAGATATGGGCCTGGAGTGGAGATATGGGCTTGGGGTGGGGATAGGGGCCTGGGGTGCGGATATGGGCCTGGAGGCTGGGTCTCTACACAGCCGACAGCCCTGTTCTTGGGTGCAAGCAGGCACTGAGGGTGAGTTTCCCTTCAGCCCAGCAAGGGCCTGGCTACCAAGACTCACAGCCCAGTGGGGGCAGCAAGGGAGTCCTGGTTTGCCTGCAGATGGATGGTCCATCATGATCTTTCTTTCCAGGGTTCTTCTTGCTGCAGGGGGCCTGGACACATGAGGGTGAGTCCTTCTCCAAACCTTCGGGTGTCATCTCCCCACATAAGAGGATTTTCCTGAAACAGGAGGGAAGCCCGGTGGGGGATTTTCTTATAAACAAGGATGAGGAGACCCTGGGGTGCTCAGCCCACAGTTCCGACCTTGCCCTCCCCAGCCTTCCTTTCCCTTGGCTGAGTCAGGTTCTGTGGGAACCCGGGAGGGTAGACTGGGGTCCTCCAAGCTGGGCTGTGCGGCTGGGATGTGGTGTCACTGGCAGAGGAAGGGAGCAAAGCAGTGCTAGGAACAGCAGGCCTCTGAGGACAAAGGTGTAACTCACACCCTCCAGCGTTTCCATGACGGTAGGGGCTGCAGTGTGGCTGCTGTCATTCTACCTCAGAGGTGGGGGAACCCCAGCCAGGGCCCTGACCTTCCAAATCCTCTGTTGGGGGCTCAGTTGTGTATTGTGGTTCACACATTGGCTGATATTCCATTCACAAAGAACATGCCCTCGACCCCATGTCTATTTGTGTTGTTTTATGTGAGTAATCTTGCAGTATTAAAATCTAGTAGGAGTCCCTTACTCAGCACTTGCTCAAAGTTCTCAGCTGACACTTTTGTTGTAGAGAGACGCCAAGTCTATGCGGGGTGGGTCCTTCCCGTACCCATGGGCACCCAAGTGTGGTAGGAGCCTTAGAAACGAGGAAAGTGGGGAGAATCTTCTGAGCACTGGCAGGGAGGGGCGGCTCCACATCCTCCTTTCTAAGGTGGCGCCTCCTTCTCCCCCAGGTGGTCAGGACAAGCCCTTGCTGTCTGCCTGGCCCAGCGCTGTGGTGCCTCGAGGAGGACATGTGACTCTTCTGTGTCGCTCTCGTCTTGGGTTTACCATCTTCAGTCTGTACAAAGAAGATGGGGTGCCTGTCCCTGAGCTCTACAACAAAATATTCTGGAAGAGCATCCTCATGGGCCCTGTGACCCCTGCACACGCAGGGACCTACAGATGTCGGGGTTCACACCCACGCTCCCCCATTGAGTGGTCAGCACCCAGCAACCCCCTGGTGATCGTGGTCACAGGTCAGAGGACTCATGTCTGGGCTTCTCCTTCTCCCACTTCCTGAATCCCAGAGCATCTGGTGGGGGTGTCCACCAGGGTCCAATCATCCAGGCCCTGACTGTATTTGGTGTCAATGGGGATTGAATACAGGGGAATGGGTGCTGTGGTGGAAAGAGTAACTGTCGGCAGCATGGCTATATTGTAATCCTTGGAGCCTGTGACTATTTATGTTATAGGACATGGGACTGAAGGGGAAGATGGAGTTCAGGTTGTTGATGAGTTGACCTTGAGATGGGGAGACGACCTGGACTCTCCCACTGGGCTCAGTGTAATCACAAGGGTCCACATGAGAGGAGGAGGAAGAGGAGAGTGGGGATTAGAGCAGCGTAGTGGGAGGGAGAGTCCACCAGCCACTGCGGGCTTTGAAAGTGGAGGAAGGCCAGAAGCCACGGAATGCAGGTGGCCTTTAGGGGCTGGAGAAGTCAATGGAACTGATTCTCCCGAGTCTCCAGAGGGAATGCAGCCCTGCAGATGCCTTGATTGTAGCCCAGGAAGAACAGGGTCTGATTTCTGTCAACAGAAGTGTTCTCTCCCGCCGCCGTGTTTGTGATAATTTTCTGCAGCAACAACAGGAAACAACACAGGAATCCAGGTCAAGGACAAGTTAAAAAACCAAACAAGAGGGTTGGCTACCCTAAGGTCAGCAAGGGTGCACTGCTGATGCCACCACCAGGCTGGAGCCGCATAGGGAGGGATCCACAGGGAGAGTCGGGGGTGGAGGGTGAGAGAGAGAGAGAGCATTAGGTCATAGAGCAGGGGAGTGAGTTCTCAGCTCAGGTGTGAGGGGAGCTGTGACAAGGAAGAACCTCCCTGAGGAAACTGCCTCTTCTTCCAGGTCTATTTGGGAAACCTTCACTCTCAGCCCAGCCGGGCCCCACGGTTCGCACAGGAGAGAACGTGACCTTGTCCTGCAGCTCCAGGAGCTCATTTGACATGTACCATCTATCCAGGGAGGGGAGGGCCCATGAACCTAGGCTCCCTGCAGTGCCCAGCGTCAATGGAACATTCCAGGCTGACTTTCCTCTGGGCCCTGCCACCCACGGAGGGACCTACACATGCTTCGGCTCTCTCCATGACTCACCCTATGAGTGGTCAGACCCGAGTGACCCACTGCTTGTTTCTGTCACAGGTGAGGAAAGCCCATGCCTGTCCCATGTCCTGTGATCCTAGAGCCTTAGCTGAGGAGCTTCCTGCTGATGATGGAGAGAAGCATGGACAGATGCAGAGAGAACACGCAGCATGGTGTGAGGGAGGGATCAGGGCACAGGATGGCAGACAGGGCACCTCCAAACCCTCCTGCACGGCCTGCATGGAGGCCCGCGGCCAGGGCTCCAGGCACCCAGGCAGATGGAGAAAGTGGTCAGGACAGACCCAGAGGAGGGAGACTCGGCTCAGTTTGGGGAGATCAGAGGCTCCCTCAGACCCTAAACCTTACCCATTTCCCAGAAGCCCATACTGGCCTCTCACCCACACAGAGATGTCATCACCAGCAACCCCTACACCCTTTTCTTTCCGTTTGAAAAAACATTTATTTAGGTTAAATGTAACTATATAATTTGCCACCTTTACCATTTTTAAAAGTAAAATCTAGTGGTCATAAATTCCTTTATATGCAGGGTGCAGTGGCTCACAGTTATAATCTCGGTGCTTTGAGAGGCCAAGGAAGGTGGATCATTTAAGATCAGAGGCTCGAGATCAGCCTGGCCAACATGAGGGAAATTCATCTTTACTAAACAGACAAGAAAAATTGGCTGGGCATGCTGGCATGCACCTGTATTCCTAGCTACATGGGAGGCTGAGGCAGGAGAAGTACGTAAGCCCAGGAGGCAGAGGTTGCACTGAGCTGAGATCAGGCCACTGCACTGCAGCCTGGGAGACAGAGAGAGATTCTGTCTCTAAATAAATAAATACATCTATATTCTTTTTTATTGTTGTTGTTACACTCCACCCTTTACTTCCTGCCCTCTGGTAGCCACCATTCTACTCTCTACCTTCATGAGATCCACCTTTTAGCTCCTGTATATGGGTGAGAAATGGGAATCTTTGCAATGACCTCCAGTTCCATCCATGTGGCTGCAAATGTCAGGATGTTATTCTTTCTACGGATGAGTACTCTCCACTGTGTGTGTGTACTACATTCTCTCTATCCATTCACCCACTGACGGGCAGGTAAGTTGACTCCACATCTTGGCTACTGTGAACAGTGCTGCACCAATCGTATGAGTGCAGATATCACTTCGATACACTGATGTCCTTCCCTTTGGGTTTACACCCAGTAGTGGAATTGCTAGATCCTATCAACAGGGTACCAGGGTTCTCCTTTCTCTACCACCTTGCCAGCATTTATTTTGTCTGTGTTTCAGATAAAAGCCACTTTAATGGGATGAGATGATAGCTCACTGTGATTTCAATTGGCATGATTAGTGATACTGAGCACTTTTTCATGTACATGTTCGCCATTTGTACGTTTTGTTTGTTGAGAAATGTCTGTTCAGGTCTTTTACTAATTGTTAAATTAAATTCATTGTTTTATACCGTTGCTTGAGTTTTATGTATATTCTAGTTATTAATCCCCTCTCAGATGCATACTTCACAAATATTTTCTCCCAATTTGTCTCTTCTTCACTTTGTTGGTTGCTTCCTTTGCGGTGCAGAAGCTGCTTACTTTGATGTAATCCCGAAGGTCTATTATTTTGTTTTGATTTCTTGTGTTTTTGAGATTTCAAATAAAATGTCTTTCCTCAGACAAATGTCCTGGAGCATTTCCCCACTCTTTCCTTTTAGACGCTTAATGGTTTCAGGCCTTAAGTGTTTCTTCCATTTTCATTTGATTTCTGTGTATGGTGAGAGGTAGAGGTGCAGTTTCATCAACTGCATGTAGATACCAGTTTTCCCTGCTCCATTTATTGAAAAGACCGTCGTTTCCTGATTGCAGGTTCTTGGCACGTACAATCGTCAAAGTCCATTGGATGTGAATGCATGAATTATATCTGTGTTCTTCATTCTGCTCCATTGCTCTAAGGGCCTTTATGCCAATGTCATGCTGTTGTGCTTACTACAGCTTTGTAACATATTTTTAAGTCAGGGAGTGTGAGGCCTCCAGCACCTGTTTTGTCTTTATACCTCGAAATCTCAGGACACTGGGCATCATTTAACAATGATGATGGAGAAGGGGACGCCAGGACTCCTAGGGCCCAACATTAGATAACAGAGTGTTGGCCATGAACCAACCTCAAAGATTTCCTTTGAGTAGAAGACAGGCATCCTCATTTCCTCACCTCTCTCCTGTCCTGTGTTCTAGGAAACTCTTCAAGTAGTTCATCTTCACCCACTGAACCAAGCTCCAAAACTGGTGAGTAAAGATCCCTCTTATCTCTGCTTTTGGAAACCTGGGGAGGTTGGTATCTTGGATTCAAGCATTGGCTCAGCACCTCCCAGCTCTGTGATTGTGGGCCTGTCTTCTAACATCTCTGACCCCCAGACACTACAACAGCGAAGGGTATCTGAGGACAGCAAAGGGCTCAGTGAAGTCTCTTCATTTCAAATTTCTGCAGCTGAGACCTCCTCCAAGCTAGACGGACGAGTACAAATCTGACATCCTTCTCAGGGATAAAGTGGTGTTTTTTCTGCCTGCATTCCAAATTGGAGGATAAATTTGAGGGGACTTGAGAGAGGGAGGGGAAGGGAACATCTGATGAGGGAAAGGTGATTTAGAGAAGTTCCACTTGCCAAGGAATGAGCCCCTGTTGGTCATGATGCGACCTTGGCTGAGTCAGCAGAGCAAGAGCCTTGCAGTAAGAAGGAACGTAGTTCATCCACAAATATGACACTTCCACTTACTCACTTATTCAGCCACTGCCCTGTGCTCTGACTGTACAGTGTGGAACCCTTTCCTGCTGTTGCCATAATAAATCTCCACAATCTTCATGGATGACAACAACACAGCTTTTAAAATTATCTTACAGTGTTATAGCTCAGAAATATGAAATGCATTTCACTGGGCTAAAATCAAGGTGACTGCGAGGCTGCCTTTTCTCTGAAGGTTCCAGGCGAGAATCGGCTTTTCACATTTCCCAGCTCCCAGAGGTTCCCACGCTCCTTGGCATCTGGTCCCCATCCTCCTTCCTCGAAGCCCACAAAAGCTCATCACATCTCTCACGTGGCATCACTCAGATCCCTCTTCCTTACCTCACCTCTTTCTCTAAGTGTTGCTCTGACTTTTTCTTCCTCTTTTAAAGACTTTGGGATTCTATTGAGTTTACCAAGATAATCCATCACAATCTCCCTAAAATCACCCAAGATAACCTCTTTTTAAGTTCAGCTGATTAGCAACCATAATTCCATCTGCAATCTTTATTCCTCCTTTCATGTAAAATAACATATTCACAAGCTATGGAGGCTAGGACAGGGACATTTTGGGGGTGGGCCAGCATTCTCCTGCCTTCCACAAATGGTAAACACGATGCATTTGGCCTCTGCTCTTAGGACACTGACATTGCAGATGGGCAAATGGGAGGGCAGAATATGAATGCACAAGTGGACCAGTAATGATTGATCCATTGGGAAGCATCCGTGCATGAAATCTATTTACCTATTTATTTATCTATTTATCTATTTATGTATTTATTTATTTGCGGCGAAGTCATTCTCTGTCCCCGGGCTGGAGTGCAGTGGCATGACCTCAGCTCACCACAACCTCCGCCTCCCGGGTTCAGGCGATTCTCCTGCCTCAGCCTCCTGACTAGTTGTGATTCCAGTCCCCTCCACCACACCCAGCTAATATTCTTTTATATTTTTTAGTAGAGATGGAGTTTCACCATGTTGCGCAGATTGTCTCCAACTCCCAACCTCAAGTGATCCGACCGTCTCAGCATCCCAAAATGCTGGGACTCAAGGTGTGAGACACTGCGCCCAGCCGAAATTTAAAATAAATAATAAAGAATTCTAAGTGTATAATTTCAGGAGACAGAGAAAGTCTCACTAATCAGATAATATTTGTGACCATAATGAAAAAAAAAAGTAGATTCAACCCCTGGAAGATTGGCGGAAGGATTTTCCACACACAGCTGTCAGCCGTGAAGGCACAAATGTGAAAACAATCTGATGTGGAAGGAAGAGGCTCTGCATTCAAATGCTGGGAATGAAGTGGGGAGAATGACAAGACGACTGTGGAGAGACGGAGAGCACTCTGGGTACACAGGAAACTAAGGAGGAACAAGGAGCGTGTGTTTGACACTCACAGCCATTGGATTCACCTCGGGGTAGCCAGGAATCCCTACATGATTAATATGACTGACATGAAAATAAGGACGCCCAAGTGCGTAACTGGAATCTAGGAGACCGTGGAAAAGGCAATTCCCGCCCCACTGGTGAAATGTGGTGCTGATTTAGACACTAAATGAATGAAGTAGATGGGTATAAGATATGTCTGTGAGGTAGAATCATTTGTAGGGAGGGCTTGCTGGATTTGATAATGCCTACTTATTTAATTTTGAATATATTAATTTCTTTCTGAGATTTATTTTTCCTACATGTAAATCAATATCTGGCAGAGGAGTGATTGATAGATAGATGAGGGGTGGTGCAAATGAAGGGACTTATTATAGCATAATATACAAGTCTGTGAATGGGAGCTTACGCCTGTAACCCAACACTTTGGGAGGCCAAGGCGTTTGGATCACTTGAGGTCAGGAGTTTGAGACCAGCCTGGCCAACATGGAGAAACCCCATGCTCTTTTTAGCAACCAGTCCTAGGGACCTCATGGAGAACTTGCCAACCACGTCTCATGGGGACAGCATTAATGTATTCATGATGGATCCACCCCCATAACTGGAACGTCTCTCAATAGGCCCAGCCTCCCACACTGCGAGATAAGTGTCAACGTGAGGTTTGGCGGGGTCAAACATCCAAACTATAGCAGTGGTATCCCCAGCATGTTCTCTGATTATTTTGAGAACTATAACTGAGAAAGCAGGAGAAAGCTGGGTATCCTGCCATCGGGGAACTTGTCCTAAACAGATGTTGTATGTGCTTAGCTGGCAACCAAGAAATGAGAGACAATCCATAAAGAGGAACTGCTATAATTAGCTTCTTATTGGATTCCCACCTTCCCCCAGGTATCCGCAGACACCTGCACATTCTGATTGGGACCTCAGTGGCTATCATCCTCTTCATCATCCTCTTCTTCTTTCTCCTTCATTGCTGCTGCTCCAACAAAAAGAGTAAGTCTCACGAAGCAGAGGTCAGAGAGCTCAGGACCATGTGGGGAAGCAGGATGGGAGCACACTGGTGTGTGTTCCTGACTGGCAGGATGGTCCCTGGACCAAGGCAGGAGCCACAGAGGCAGGGCTTTCTAGAGAGAGCACCAGACACCCTGCCCCTGCCTTCAGCTCACAGACCATTGCCTGATTCTGAACTGTATCCTCACGTCCCCTGCAGCCACTGACATCCAGGAGAAGGTTCCATGACAGGCAGAAAGGGGAGACAGAATCACTGGGATGGGAACTCAGAGCTATTCATGGGATGGGTCCTTGAGCTCAGAGAGATAGAATGTCTGGGTCTGGCTGATGACAGCTGAGGGACCTCAGGCACCTACGGCCTCCCGCTGTGTGTTGGTGTCTGCTCATGAAATGAGGACCCAAAAGTGCCCTTCCAGCTGTTTTGATGACTTCTATCTCCTACAGATGCTGCTGTAATGGACCAAGAGCCTGCCGGGGACAGAACAGTGAACAGGGAGGTAGGTTCTCCTCAGCCCAGCCTCATGGATTGAGTCTCATTCCCTAATAGTCTTGAAGAATGTGAGCACCCTCCCTCACTCAGCATTTCCCTCTCTCCAGGACTCTGATGATCAAGACCCTCAGGAGGTGACATATGCACAGTTGGATCACTGCGTTTTCACACAGACAAAAATCACTTCCCCTTCTCAGAGGCCCAAGACACCTCCAACAGATACCACCATGTACATGGAACTTCCAAATGCTAAGCCAAGATCATTGTCTCCTGCCCATAAGCACCACAGTCAGGCCTTGAGGGGATCTTCTAGGGAGACAACAGCCCTGTCTCAAAACCGGGTTGCTAGCTCCCATGTACCAGCAGCTGGAATCTGAAGGCATCAGTCTTCATCTTAGGGGATCGCTCTTCCTCACACCACAAATCTGAACATGCCTCTCTCTTGCTTACAAATGTCTAAGGTCCCCACTGCCTGCTGGAGAGAAGACACACTCCTTTGCTTAGCCCACAATTCTCTATTTCACTTGACCCCTGCCCACCTCTCCAACTGAACTGGCTTACTTCCTAGTCTACTTGAGGCTGCAATCACACTGAGGAACTCACAATTCCAGACATACAAGAGGCTCCCTCTTAACATGGCACTGAGACACGTGCTGTTCCACCTTCCCTCATGCTGTTTCACCTTTCCTCAGACTATTTTCCAGCCTTCTGTCAGTCAGCAGTGAAACTTATAAAATTTTTTGTGATTTCAATGTAGCTGTCTCCTTTTCAAATAAACATGTCTGCCCTCATTGCTTTAGGTAATGTGACACTATTCGCTGAAAGAAACCGCTGTTATCATTACCATGTCCACATAACCCCATCTGTTATCCACTGGGTTCTCTCCCCTGGACTCTGAGCTTCTGGAAGCAGGGTGGAGCCTCATTTGTCTCTGGGACTCCAATTTCCATCCAAAGATGCAGCACATAGGAGGTTCCAAGGATCATGAATCACATGAACAAGTGATATTCTTACTCTCTGCAGACCTGGAAAGCTGGCAGAGTCATTCCACGATGAAACATTTGTAGAGTCATAGGCCTTGTTAGTCTCATCTCCATGGGGACACATATCAACACATCATCTTTCATGCTATATATATATATACAGTCGCTCCTCCGTATCTGTGGGGTTTACAGGTGTTTATTGAACCAACTATAAATAAAAAATATTCAGAGAAGAAAATCCACAAACTTTCAAAAAGCAAAACTATGTTGAAGGGACACAAATGAAGCAGTGTGTAGGCCATATCAGGAATTATAAGTAATCTAGAGATGATTTCATGTATACAGGAGGATGTGCATGGGTTATATGCAAGCGCTGTGCCATTTCATGTAAGAGGCTTCAGCATCTGCAGATTTTGGTATCTGAGTGGAGATCCTGAAACCAATCACCCAGGAATAGTGAAGGATGACCGTATAAAACTGTTATTTCTAAATTTTAAATATAAATCATAAAAAAATTATAAACTAGATAAAAACAAGAAGTGTTTTTATAGTGTGAGAATAAGTTTAGATTTATTTTTTCCTACGTGTAACCCTTTGGTTTAATATTATTTATTGAGAAGACATTCTATGCCACCTTAAACCACAGGGCAGCCTTTGTCAACTCTAAAGGGACTGTGTGTACACGGATGTATTTTAGACACTGTTTCTGCTAAGGGGCTCTCTGTGTCCACACTCTTGAGGATGCTGCACTTCATGTAGCCTTATAAAACCCTTTAAATTTAGTAGCCAGAGCCCTCTAATTTGTTATTATAGGCTACTTGCTATTTTTTTTTTCTTAAGGCGGAATCTTGCTCTGTCACCCAGGCTGGACTGTAGTAGTGCAATCTCAGCTCACTGCAAACTCCGCCTCCCAGGTTCAAGCGATTCTCGTGCCTCAGCCTCTTGAGTAGATGGCATTACAGGTGTCTGCCACCAGGCACGGCTAATTTTTGAATGTTTAGCAGAGACACGGTTTCACTATGTTGGCCAGGCTGCTCTCAAACTCCTCATCTCAGTTGATTCGCCCACCTCGGCTTCCAAACATGCTGGGGGAAACTTGATTTTCTATAGCATTATGTTACTGGATATTTCCGTAAAATTTAAAATGAGGGAGGGACAGAGACAGAGAGGGAGCAAACTCCAGAGTTGGGACTCTGGAATCTTGGGTCATGAGACAAATTATAGATAAAACTATAAAAATCCAGAATTTACATGTGTGGTTTTTGCTGATAAAGTACAATTCGAAGATTGTAAATAATTGCATAATCCTTTCCTGGGAATTTAAATCATTTTAACTGGTTTTGCTGTAATACTAGAAATACAAGCATGAAAAATTCTAATGGTTTATTAGTCACAATGACTCCGAAAACATTAATAATACCTATTAGATACTTTGCATATTACACAGGAAGAAGAGTTTGAATCTCAGATAAAAACAATAAAAATACATGAAAAGTCTTTCACGTTAGCA
Source organism: Homo sapiens (assembly GCF_000001405.40). NCBI lineage: Eukaryota > Metazoa > Chordata > Mammalia > Primates > Hominidae > Homo > Homo sapiens. The sequence goes on from NW_016107304.1 coordinate 145,879, forward strand.
CAGATTTTAGGCATCTTGTGTTCGGGAGGTTGGATCTGAGACGTGTTGTGAGTTGGTCATAGTGAAGGACGCGAGGTGCCAATTCTAGTGAGAACAATTTCCAGGAAGCCGTGTTCCGCTCTTGAGCAAGCACCCACTGGGCCTCATGCAAGGTAGAAAGAGCCTGCGTACGTCACCCTCCCGTGATGTGGTCAACATGTAAACTGCATGGGCAGGGCGCCAAATAACATCCTGTGCGCTGCTGAGCTGAGCTAGGGGTGCGGCCGCCTGTCTGCACCGGCAGCACCATGTCGCTCATGGTCATCAGCATGGCGTGTGTTGGTGAGTCCTGGAAGGGAATAGAGGGAGGGAGCGCGGGGATGGAGATCTGGGCCCAGAGGTGGAGATATAGGCCTGGAGGTGGAGTTATGGGCCTGGAGTGGAGATCTGGGCCTGGAGGGGATATATGGGCCTAGAGATGGAGTGATGGGCCTAGAAGTGGAGATCTGGGTCTGGAGTGGAGATATGGGCCTGCAGTGGAGATATGGGCCTGGAGTGGAGAGAGGAACCTGGAGAAGAGATAGGAACCTGGATGGGAGGTAGGAGCCTAGGGTGGAGATATGGGACTGGAGTGGAGATATGGGACTGGAGTAGAGATATGGGCCTGGAGTGGAGTTATGGGCCTGGAGTGAAGTTATGGGCCTGGAGGTGGAGATATGGGCCTGGAGTGGAGATATGGGCCTGGAGGTGCAGATATGGACCTGGAGTGGAGATATGGCCCTGGAGTGGAGATGTGGGTCTGGAGTGGAGATATGGGCCTGGAGGTGGAGATAAGGGCCTGGAGTGGAGATATGGGCCTGGAGTGGAGATATGAGCCTGGAGATGGAGATATGGGCCTGGAGTGGAGATATGGGCCTGGAGGTGGAGATATGGGCCTGGAGTGGAGATATGGGCCTGGAGTGGAGATATGGGCGTGGGGTGGAGATATGGGCCTTGAGTGGAGATATGGGACTGAAGTGGAGATATGGGTGTGGGGTGGAGATATGGGACTGGAGTGCAGATATGGGCATGGGGTGGAGATATGGGACTGGAGTGGAGATATGGGCGTGGGGTGGAGATATGGGACTGGAGTGGAGATATGGGCGTGGGGTGGAGATATGGGCCTGGAGTGGAGATATGGGACTGGAGTGGAGATATGGGCGTGGGGTGGAGATATGTGCCTGGAGTGGAGATATGGACGTGGGGTGGAGATATGGGCCTGGAATGGAGATATGGGCCTGGAGTGGAGATATGGGCGTGGGGTGGAGATATGGGACTGGAGTGGAGATATGGGCCTGTTGTGGAGATATGGGCTTGGAGTGGAGATATGATCCTGGAGTGTAGTTATGGGCCTGGAGGTGGAGATCTGGGCCCGGGGTGGAGATATGGGCCTGGAGTGGAGATATGGGCCTGGGGAGGAGATATGGGCCTGGAGTGGAGATATGGGCCTGGACTGGAGTTATGGACCTAGGGTGGAGATCTGAGCCTGGATTGGAGATGTGGGCCCAGATTGGCTATATGGGCCTAGGGTGGGAATATCAGCCTGGAGTGGAGATATGTGCCTGGAGTGGAGATATGGGCTTGGGGTAGGGATATGGGAATGGAGGCTGGGTCTCTGCACAGCCGAGAGCCCTGTTCTTGGGTGCAGGTAGGCACTGAGGGTGAGTTTCCCTTCGGCCCAGGAAGGGCCTGGCTACCAAGACTCACAGCCTAGTGGGGATAGCAAGGAAGGCCTGGTTTGCCTGCAGATGGATGGTCCATCATGATCTTTCTTTCCAGCGTTCTTCTTGCTGCAGGGGGCCTGGCCACATGAGGGTAAGTCCTTCTCCAAACCTTAAGGTGTCATCTCCCCACATAAGAGGATTTTCCTGAAACGGGAGGGAAGTCCTGTCAGGGAGTCTCTCTTAAACTAGAAAGAGGGGACCCTGGGGTGCTTGGCCCACAGTTCCGACCTTGCCTCCCTGGCCTTTCATTTCCTTGGCAGAGTCAAGTTCTGTGGGGACCAGGGTTACACTAGGGTGCTCAAAGCTGGGGTGTGTGGTGGGAAAGTGGTAGGAACAGCAGATCCTCTGAGGACAAAGGTGTTACTCACACACTTCAGCGTTTCCATGACGGTAGGGGCTGCAGTGTGGCTGCTGTCATTCTACCAGAAGAGGTGGGAAACCACAGCCATGGCCCTGACATTCCAAATCCTCTGATGGGGGCTCAGTTGGTTATTTTCATTCAGGCATCTGCTGATATTCCATTCTCAAAGGACATGCCCTCCACCCCATGTCTACCCTGTGTTGTTTTATGTGAGTAATCTTACAGTATTAAAATCTAGTAGGAGTCTCTTACTCAGCACTTGCTCAAAGTTCTCAGCTGACACTTTTGTTGTAGGGAGACAGCTTGTCTTTGTGGGATGAGTCCTTCCTTTAGCCCTAGGCACCAAGGTGTGATAGCAGCCATAGAAATGTGGAAAGTGGGGAGAATCTTCTGAGCACAGGGAGGGAGGGGCGGCTCCACATCCTCCTCTCTAAGGCGGCGCCTCCTTCTCCCCAAGGTGGTCAGGACAAGCCCTTGCTTTCTACCTGGCCCAGCCTTGTGGTGCCTCCAGAACATGTGACTCTTCGGTGTCACTCTAATCTTGGGTTTAACAACTTCAGTCTGTACAAGGATGATGGGGTGCCTGTCCCTGAGCTCTACAACAGAATATTCTGGAAAAGCCTTTTCATGGGCCCTGTGACCCCGTCACACACAGGGACCTATAGATGCCGGGGTTCACACACACACTCCCCCAGTGGGGGGTCGGCACCCAGCAACCCCCTGGTGATCGTGGTCACAGGTCAGAGGGCTCCTGTCTGGGATTCTCCTTGTCCCACCTCCTGAATCCCAGAGCTTCTGGTAGGCATGTCCTTGAGGGTCCCTTCACGCAGGCCCTGACTGTATTTGGGGTAAAGGGGGATTGAATACAGGGAAATGGGTGCTGTGGTGGGAAGAATAATTGTCCCCAGTGATGACTACATTCTAATCCCTGGAGTCTGTGACTATTTATGTTATAGGGGAAGGGACTGAAGGGGAAGATGGAGCTCAGGTTGTTGATGAGTTGACCTTGAGATGGGGAGAAGGCCTGGACTGTCCCCCTGGGCTCAGTGTAATGACAAGTGTCCACAGGAAAGGAGGAGGAAGAGGGGAGTGGGGATTAGAGCAGCGTAATGGGAGTCTCCATCAGCTTTGAAGGTGGAGGAAGGCCAGGAGCCATGAATGCAGGTGGCCTATAGAGGCTGGAAAAGTCAAGGAACTGATTCTCCTGAGTCTCCAGAGGGAACGAAACCCTACAGGTGCCTTGATTTTAGCCCAGGAAAAACAGGGCCCAACTTCTGCCTCCAGAAATGGAAGGGGTCAGTGTGCTCTCTCCTGCTGCCATGCTGCTGATAATTTTCTACAGCAGCAACAGGAAACCAACACCGGAACCCAGCTCGAGGAAAAGTTAAGAAAGGACACAAGGATAGCCGGGCGTGGTGGCAGGTGCATGTAATCCTAGCGACTTGGGAGGCTGAGGGCAGGAGAATCACTTGAACCCAGGAGACAGAGGTTGCAGTGAGCCTAGACCACACCACTTCACTCCAGCCTGGGCAAAGGAGTGAGACTCTGTCTCCAAAATTAATTAATTAAAGAAACCAAACAAGGAGAAGGTTGGCTACACCAAGATCAGCAAGTGAGGGATGATGATGCCACCACCAGGCTCCATCCACATAGGGAGCGGTTGATACTCCTCCAACCAGCACCAGGAGCCAGGCTATGGAAGCTGGCACAGGCATGGCAAGAGTGGCTCCCAGTCCCCACCAGGAACAGGGTGTGTGGACACTGGTGCCTGCCTTACTGATCAGTTCATACCTCCTGCCAAGGATTCCAATTCGACCAAAAGAGATTGAACCAGGCTGCTAAGAGCCTGGATGTGCAGCCTATCCTGGTTCCTCTTCCACCCCCACATATACAGCAGGAAAGACATTAGTTCAAAATAGATACAACAGCCGAAGAGATGAGGCTGAGCCCAGCGGCAAGGGAATCAGAGGTTACTAGAGACAGAGGGACAGAGAAGAGGGAGGGAGACAGATGGAAGGACCTGCACCAGGAGTTATGGGCACAGAAAAGAACATGAAGACACAGAGAGGAAGGAGAGAGACAGACACCAGGGAGGGGAAGCCTCACTCAATCCAGGTGCCATGGATGGGATGATAAAGAGAGACACCTTCTAAATTCACAAACTCTCTTCCTAGGATTCCGCAGAAAACCTTCCCTCCTGGCCCACCCAGGTCCCCTGGTGAAATCAGAAGAGACAGTCATCCTGCAATGTTGGTCAGATGTCATGTTTGAGCACTTCCTTCTGCACAGAGAGGGGACGTTTAACCACACTTTGCGCCTCATTGGAGAGCACATTGATGGGGTCTCCAAGGGCAACTTCTCCATCGGTCGCATGACACAAGACCTGGCAGGGACCTACAGATGCTACGGTTCTGTTACTCACTCCCCCTATCAGTTGTCAGCGCCCAGTGACCCTCTGGACATCGTGATCACAGGTGAGAGTGTCCAGACATTCTTCTCATTGTCATTGGGATGCAGAGTGAATGATCCAGGACTTGGAGGCCCAGGTGGTTGTAAGGAAGATGAGCTTGGTATTCTTATGGAGAGAGACTGACTTGGTGAGGTCTGTACCAACAGAGACAGAGAAACAGGAGACACAAGTACAGACCAGGTGTCATAACAGAGGACACACACAGGGGCCTTTCCGAGAGTTAGAAAAGACAGAAGGAGTTAAAGGAGACAGACAGACAGACATGTCCCAGAGAGAGGTGTCCCTCCATGCTGACTTTGCTCAGAGACCTGGCACATGTTAGAAGTTTCATTTCTGTTTTACCTCCACAAAGTGTTCTCTACCAGGAGAACCCAAGGACACCCATATTTCTGACCTGAGTTGGGCCCTATGGCCTCAGGCCTTCTGGCACCTACAGATGCCATGTTTATTCTGACACCTCTGCCTTCCAGGTAATGGAGAGTAATCGTCCCAGGATATCATGGCCCCAGAACACCAACCCCTGTATGCTGTGTGAACTTGTAGTCTCCAGACTGGATTCTGAGGCTCACATTCCAAATAACCCCACATATGAAAGGATCACTGAGAGGCACAGAGAAAAATCAGGAACACCAAAAAGCAAAGACATAAACACACAGAGAATGAGCCAGAGGAAGGAGATTGAGAGACTCACAGACACATAAAGAGAGAGAAAAGAGGGCAGAGGAGTGGTGAGAATGATGGAAGGGAGCAGAGAAAAGCACTAAAATTAGAGTCATGAGGGAGAGGCACAAGGACATAGAAAGATGGAGATGTGGGGATGAATTGCAGAGATTCCAAAGAGAACTAGAGAGACCGAGAGGCAGAGCAAGACAGATGATAGATGGATAGATATAGATAGATGATAAATAGGTAGATGATAGATAATAGGTTATAGATACATAGATGATGATTGATTGATTCATTAATAGATGAGACATAGAGATGATGATGATGAAGACAGATAGATAATACATAGAGATAGAGAGGCAGACATAGAGAAATCATAGAGAGAGAGAGATGATACACAGATATAGATAATAGATGATTGATGGATAGATAGAAAATTGATAGATAAATAGATGATATATAGATATAGATGACAGGTAGAGAATTTGTAGATAGGCACGGAATAGATAAATAGATAGATCGATAGATAATAGATAGAAATATGCAGAAAGTTATGAACAGGACACAAAGTGAGAAACTCAGAATTAAAAAAAGTAACATCAAGTGAACCAATCCAAGGAGAGTCAGAGAGAATAAAACAATCCAAAAAGAGAAAACATATCTAGAGGTGGGGAAGTGAGGTCAGAGACCTAGAGAGACAGAGAAGGTGGAAGGAGGAAATAGACGTGAAGAGAGATGGGGTGGAGGGTGAGAGAGAGAGAGAGAGAGCATTAGGTCACAGAGCAGGGGAGTGAGTTCTCAGCTCAGGTGAAGGGAGCTGTGACAAGGAAGATCCTCCCTGAGGAAAATGCCTCTTCTCCTTCCAGGTCTATATGAGAAACCTTCTCTCTCAGCCCAGCCGGGCCCCACGGTTCTGGCAGGAGAGAGCGTGACCTTGTCCTGCAGCTCCCGGAGCTCCTATGACATGTACCATCTATCCAGGGAAGGGGAGGCCCATGAACGTAGGCTCCCTGCAGGGCCCAAGGTCAACAGAACATTCCAGGCCGACTTTCCTCTGGACCCTGCCACCCACGGAGGGACCTACAGATGCTTCGGCTCTTTCCGTGACTCTCCATACGAGTGGTCAAAGTCAAGTGACCCACTGCTTGTTTCTGTCACAGGTGAGGAAAGCCCATGGCTGTCCCATGTCCTATGATCCTAGAGCCTTAGCTGAGGAGCTTCCTGCTGAGGATGGAGAGAAGCATGGACAGATGCAGAGAGAAGACGCAGCCTCGGTGTGAGGGAGGGATCAGGGCACAGGATGGCAGACAGGGCACCTCCAAACCCTCCTACATGGCCTGCATGGAGGCCCGCGGCCAGGGCTCCAGGCACCCAGGCAGATGGAGAAAGCGGTCAGGAGAGACCCAGAGGAGGGAGACTGGGCTCAGTTTGGGGAGATCAGAGGTTCCCTCAGCCCCTCAACATTACCCATTTCCCAGAAGCCCATCCTGGCCTCTCACCCACACAGAGATGTCATCACCAGCAATCCCTACACCCTTTACTTTTCTTTGAAGAAATATTTATTGAGGATAAATATACCTATATAGCTTACCACCTTTAACATTTTTTTTTGAGGTGGAGTCTAGCTCTGTCCCCTATGCTGGAGTGCAGTGGCACAATCTCAGCTCACTGCAACCTCCGCCTCCTGGGTTCAAGCGATTCTCCTGCCTCAGCCACCTGAGTAGCTGGTGCTACAGGCACGCACCACCATGCCAGGCTACTTTTTGTATTTTTAGTAGAGAGGTGGTTTCACCATGTTGGTCGAGCTGGTCTCGAACTCCTGACCACATGATCCACCCGCATCAGCCTCCCAAAGTGCTGGGATTACAGGCATGGGCCACCGCACCCAGCCACATTTACCATTTTTAAGTGTAAAGTCTAGTGGTCATAAATACATTTATATATATATATATATACATTTTTTTTACCCTCCACCCTTTTCTTCCTGTCCTCCAGTAGCCACCATTCTACTCTCTACCTTCATGAGATCCACCTTTTAGCTCCTGTATATGGGTGAGAAATGGGAATCTTTGTAATGACCTCCAGTTCCATCCATGTGGCTGCAAATGACAGGATGTTATTCTTTCTATGGATGAGTAGTCTCCACTGTGCGTATGTACTACATTCTCTCTATCCATTCACCCACTGATGGGCAGGTAGGTTGACTCCTCATCTTGGCTACTGTGAACAGTGCTGCACCAATCATACGAGTGCAGATATCACTTCGATATATTGATTTACTTTCCTTTGGATATAAACCCAGTAGTGAAATTGCTGGATACTATGAAAGTTCTCTTTTTTTTTTTTTTCTTTTTTGAGAAAGAGTTTCCCTCCTTAGCCCAAGCTGGAGTCAAAGTGGTGCGACCTTGGCTCATTGCAACCTCCGCCTCCTGGGTTCCAATGATTTTCCTGCCTCAGCCTCCCTAGTAGCTGGGATTACAGGTGCACGCCACCATGCCTGGCTACTTTTTGGTTTTTTTAGTATAGATGCGGTTTCCCCATGTTGGCTGGGCTGCTCTCAAACTCATGACCTCAACTGAGGTGCCCGCCTCAGTCTCCCAAAGTGCCGGGATTACAGGCCTGATCCACCACACCCAACCTCTTTTTAGTTCTTTAAAGGACTTCCATACTTTTCTCCGTAATCGCTGTACTAATTTACACTCCTCCCAACAGGGTACCAGGGTTCTCCTTTCTCTACCACCTTGCCAGCATTTCTTTTGCCTGTCTTGCAGCTAAAAGCCATTTTATTTTATTTCATTTTATTTTGAGGTGGAGTTTCGCTCTTGTCACCCAGGCTGAGTGCAGTGGTGCGATCTCGGCTCACCGCAACCTCCACCTCCCAGGTTCAAGCGATTCTCCTGCCTCAGCCTCCCGAGTAGCTGGAATTACAGGCACACGCCACCACGCCCTACTAATTTTTGTATTTTTAGTAGAGACAGCGTTTCTCTATGTGGGTCATACTGGTCTCAAACTCCCGACCTTATGAGATTCACCCACCTCAGGCTCTCAAAATTCTAGGATGACAGACGTGAGCCACCTCGCCCGGCCTAAAAGCCATTTTAATGGAGTGAGATGAAAACTCACTTTGATTTTAATTTGCGTTTCTCTGATGATGAGTGATACTGAGCAGTTTTTCGTATGTGGGGAAATTTCATGTCTTTTGCTCCTTTTTCAATTAAATCATTTGTTTTATTGAGTTGTTTGAGCTTCTTATATTTCTAGTTATTAATCCCATCTCAGATGCATAGTTTGCACATATTTGCTCCCAATCTGTGGGTTGTCTCTTCACTTTGTTGGTTTATTTTTAGCAGTGCAGAAGTTGCTTAGTTTGAGGTAATCCCAATGGTCTATTTTTGCTTCGATTACTTGTGTTTTCAAGGTTTAAAACAAAATGTCTTTCTTCAGACAAATGTCCTGGAGCATTTCCCCAATATTTTGTTCTACGTGTTTCATAGGTTCAGGCCTTAGACTCACATCTTTAATCCATTTTCATTTGATTTTTGTGTATGGTGACAGGTAGAGGTGCAGTTTCATTCCTCTGCATGTCGATGTCCAGGTTTCCCTGCACTGTTTATTGAAAAGACTGTCCTTTCCTGATTGTGAGTTCTTGGCACCTTTGTCAAAGTCCATTGGATGGGCTGGGCTTGGTAGCTAACACCTGCAATTTCAGCACTTTGGGAGGCCGAGGCGGGTGGATTACCTGAGGCCAGGAGTTCAAGATCAGTCTGGACGACGTGATGAAACATCGTCTCCACTAAAAATATAAAAATTAGCTGAGCATGGTGGTCAGCACCTGTAATACCACTACTCAGGAGTTTGAGGCAAGAGAATGATTGAACCCAGGAGGCTGAGGTTGCAGTGAACTGAGATTGCACCTCTGCACTCCAGCCTGAGTGACAGAGCAAGACTCCATCTCAAAAGAAAAAATAAAAACCATTGGATGTAAATGCATGGAATATATCTGTGTTATTCATTCTGCTCCATTGTTCTATGTGCCTTTCTTTATGCCAATGTCATGCTGTTTTGCTTACTACAGCTCTGTAACATATTTTGAGATCAGGTAGTGTGATGCTCCTGTTTTCTCTTTATACCTTGAAGTCTCAAGACAGTGGGTGTCACATAAAAAAATTATGGAAAAAAGGATCCCAGGACTCCCAGGGCCCAATATTAGATAACAGAGTGTTGGCCATGAACCATCCTCAAAGATTTCCACTGAGTAGAGGACAGACACCCTCATTTCCTCACCTCTCTCCTGTCTCGTGTTCTAGGAAACTCTTCAAATAGTTGGCCTTCACCCACTGAACCAAGCTCCGAAACCGGTGAGTACAGAACCCTCTTATATCCGCTTTTGGAAACCTGGGGAGGTGGAAACCTTGGATTCAGGCGTTGACTCAGCATCTCACAGCTCTGACATTGTACCCCTGTCTTCCACCATCTCCGAACTCCAGATACTCCAACAGCGAAAGGGATCTGGGCCCAACACAGGGCTCAGTGAAATCTCTTCATCCCTCATTTTATGGAGCTGAGACCTCCTACAAGCTAGAAGAATGATTGCCAATCTGACATCCTTCTCAGGAAAAATGCAATGTTTGTTCTGCCTGCATTCCTAACTGGAGGATAAATTCCTGGAGACTTGAGAGAGGGAAGGGAAGGGAACATCTGATGAGGGCGAGGTGTTTTAGAGAAGTTCCACTTGCCAAGGAATGAGCTCCTGTAGGTCATGAAGCAACCCTGGCTGACTCCGCAGAGAAAGCGCCTTGCCGTAACAGAGAACAGAGCTCATGCACGCACACTTCGACTCACTGACTCATTCAGCCACGGCCCCATGCTCAGGCTGTGCAGTGTGGAAGCTTTTCCTATTGTTGCCATAACAAATTTCCACAAGATTCGTGGGTGAAAACAAAACGGTTTTTTAATTATCTTACAGTGCTCTAGCTCAAAGTATGAAGTGCATCTCACTGGGCTAAAATCAAGGCGACAGCAAGGCTGCCTTCCCTCTGAGGGTTCCAGGCAAGAATCTGCTTCTCACTTGTCCCAGCTTCTAGAGGCTCCCACATTCCTTCGCTCCTGGTCCCCTTCCTCCTTCCTCAAAGCCCACAAAGGCTGGTCACATCTCACGTGGCATCACTCAGACCCTTCTTCCTTACCACACCTCTTTATCTGAATGCTGCTCTCCCTTCTTCCTCATCTTTTGAAAACTTGGGGATTCTATTGGGTTCACCAAGATGAAAATCCATCATAATCTCCAGGAAATCATTCAGGATACCCTTGTTTTAAGTTCAGCTGATTAGCAACCATAATTCCATCTGCAATCTTCATTCCTCCTTTCCATGTAAAATAAGATATTCACAAGCTATGGAGGCTAGGACAGGGACATTTTGGGGTGGGACAGCATTCTCCTACCTTCCACAAACAGTGAACAAGATGCATTTGGCCTCTGCCCTTGGGACACTGATATTGCAGATGGTTAAATGGGAGGGCAGAAAATGAATGCACAAGTGGACCAATAAATGAATGATCCATTGGGAAGCATCTGTGTATGAAATCTATTTGTTTGTTTCTTCGTTTGTTTATTGAGACAGAGTCTCCCTCCGTCTTCCAGGCTACAGTGCAGTGTCACCATCTTGGCTCACTGCAACCTGCACCTTCTGGATCCAAGTGATTCTCCTGCGTCAGCCTCTCGAGTAGCTGGGATTACAGGCAACTGCCACCATGCCCGGCTAATTCTTTTTGTATATTTTTTGTAGAGGATGTTTCACCATCTTCGCCAAGCTTCTCTGAAACTCCCAACCTCAAGTGATCCGACCGTCTCAGCATCCTAAAGTACTGGGATAACTGGCGTGAGCCACTGTGCCCAGCCAGAATTTAAAATAAATAATACATAATGCTGAGTGTATGATTTTGGGTGACAGAGAAGATCTCACTAATCAGATATTTGTGACATTAATGAAAAACACGGATTGAACCCCTGAAAGATTGGCGGAAGGATTTTCCACACACAGCTGTCAGCCGTGAAGGCAGAAAGCTGAAAACAATCTGATGTGGAAGGAAGAGGCTCTGCCTCAAATGCTGGGAATGAGATGGGGAGAATGACAAGACGACTGTGGAGAGACGGAGAGCACACTGGGTACACAGGAAACTAAGGAGCAACAAGGAGTGTGTGTTTGACACTCACAGCCATTGGATTCACCTCGGGGTAGCCAGGAATCCCTACATGATTAATAGTGACTGACATGAAAATAAGGGAGGCCCAGGTGCGTAACTGGAATCTAGGAGACCGTGGAAAAGGCAATTCCCGCCTCACTGGTGAAATGTGGTGCTGATTTAGACCCTAACTGGGTGAAGCAGATGGATATAAGATATGCTTGTGAGGTGGAATCATTGGCTGGAAAGGCTTGCTGGGTATGATTTTCCTAGTTGTCTAATCCTCGCTTAATTTCTTTCTGAGCTTTATTCCTACTACACATAAATCAATACCTGGCAAAGGAGTGACAGATATATGAGGGGTGGTGGAAATGAAGGGACCTATTACAGCATAATATACAAGTCTGTGAACGGTGGCTCACGCCTGTAACCCAGCACTGCAGGAGGCCAAGGCGGGTGGATCACACGAAGTCAGCAGTTCGAGACCAGCCTGGCCAACATGGTGAAACCCTGTCTCTAGGAAAAACACAAAAATTAGCCGAACATGGTGGTGCATCCCTGTAATGCCAGCTCCTACTCTGGAGGATGAAGCAGGAGAATGACTTCAACCCAGGAGGTGGAGTTTGCAGTGAGTGGAGATTGCATCACTGCACTCCAGCCTGGGTGACACAAGGAGACTCCGTCTCAAAAAATAAAAATAAGAAATGCATAAATATAAATATAATATAACACACGCAAATGACAAAGGGACCTGAATTCCAATCATGATTTTTCTATTTCTCTATAATTACTTCTTTGATCCTTTATCTTATCCATTAGGCAATGAGCCTAAAACCTCTTCCCTATTTGGCTTTCTGTGAGCATGAGATCATATAGAAAATGTGAAAGCCCGCTGAATCCTCCAGCACAGATCCTGGAATACACAAAGTGCTCTGTTCATCACAAAAAAAACATGCCCTCTCACCCAAATCCCCCACCTCACCCCTACTTCCAATCATCTGTGGAGATTCAGATAGGCCATGGGGAGGTAAATTCTAATACTCCTTGGAGTGAGTCCAGATCTTGGAATCAGAGATCAGCGTCAGCACTAGCTCCTGCTCCCCTTTCCTACTAATTCACAGGAGGACAGGTGGTATTGAAGCAATAGATGGCCGAGGGTGTGGTCCTTCCCCCAGCCTCTGGGGTAGAACAGCAGCCTAACATGTGTCTCCTGAGATCACAAAGAGTAGCACGTTTCACATGGGCTTCAACACTATTTCCTGGCCATTTGACATAAGAGAATTCTACTTCGCTTTTTTTATCTTGATTTCACTTTTGTTTCCTTTTCTTGGAGAATGCAAGTTGTTTGACTCAAGAATGCCGTGGATGTATAAATCCTAAAGCACATTCGCTGTGTATCAATCCCAGTGCAGTCTTCCCAGAGAAGACTCTAAACACCTCCTGGACTGCACCTGGGCCTATGCCAATTCCTATCACTCACCGTCACTCCAGGAAGACAGAACACACAGAGAATACATTACACAGGCAGGTTCATTACTAACAGATAAGCAGTGAGTGACAACAGAAGCCTACATTTCAATGTGAGCCAGTCCCTCAAGGCTCAGAAAAGCTGCTCGGGACATATGGAGTCACCCCATTTGCAGTGTAGCTGGGGGAAGCCAGAAAGCAGCCCAGCCTGGGTTTTGTACCCTGGAGCCACAGGAAGCACTCAGCTAAAGCACTGCATGACGCCTTCCTCCAGGAAGAACAGGAAGACAGCCCAGGCTGTTCTGAGACATTCCTCCTGATCTCAGGACGTTGCTGTCGTAGTTTTTTTTTGTTGCTCTAAAGGAAAACTTGAGCCTCGGTAACTTCTAAAGAAAAGAGATCGGTTTGCCTCACCGTTCTGCAGGCTGTACTGGAAGCATGGCACCAGAATCTATTTCTTGTGACGGCCTCAGGCTGCTCCCACTCTGGCAGAAGGGAAGGAGGGTCTGTCTGTGCAGAGACCGCAGAGATCACACGGCAAGAGAGAGAGTAAGGGGGAGGGGGAGCGATGGAGCTTCCAAGCTCTTTTGAACAACCAGCTCTCCGGGAACTAATAGAGGGGGAACTTGCTAACCCCGTCTCCTTGGGACAGCATTGTTCTGTTCATGATGGATCCACCTCCATGACCCAAACACCTCCCAAGAGGCCCAACCTCCCACAGTGGGGGTGAAATTTCCATGTGAGGTTTGAAGGGGTCAGACATCTCAACTAAAGTAGTTGTATCCTCAGCACGTTCTATGGTTACTATGAGAGCTATAATTGAGAAAGCAGGGGAAAGCTAGGTCTCCCACCATTTGGGTGCTTGTCCTAAAGAGACGTTGTATGTGGTTACCTGTCAATCAAGAAATGCGAGACAATTCATAAAGAGGAACTGCTATGATTAGCTTCTTATTGGTGTCTCCTCTTCTTCCAGGTAACCCCAGACACCTACACGTTCTGATTGGGACCTCAGTGGTCAAACTCCCTTTCACCATCCTCCTCTTCTTTCTCCTTCATCGCTGGTGCTCCAACAAAAAAAGTAAGTCTCACGAAGCAGAGGCCAGAGAGCTCAGGGCCATGTGGGGAAGCAGGATGGTAGCACGCGGGTGTGTGTTCCTCACAGGCAGGATGGTCCCTGGCCCAAGGCAGGAGCCACAGAGGCAGGACTTTCTAGAGAGAGCACCAGATTCCCTTCCCCTGCCTTCAGCTCACAGACCATTGCCTGATTCTGAACTGTACCCTCACGTCCCCTGCAGCCACTCACATCCAGGAGAAGGTTCCATGACAGGCAGAAAGTGGGAGATAGAATCAATGGGATGGGAACTCAGAGCTATTCATGGGATGGGTCCTTGAGCTCAGAGAGATAGAATGTCTGAGTCTGCTGTTGGCAACTGAGGGACCTCAGGCACCTATGGCCTCCCCCTGTTTGTTGGTATCTGCTTATGAAATGAGGACCCAGAAGTGCCCTCCGAGCTGTTTTGTTGACTTCCATCTTCTACAGATGCATCTGTAATGGACCAAGGGCCTGCGGGGAACAGAACAGTGAACAGGGAGGTAGGTGCTCCTCGGCCCAGCCTCGTGGCTAGTCTTATTCCCAAAGAGTCCTGAAAAATGTGAGCACCCTCCCTCACTCAGCATTTCCCTCTCTCCAGGATTCTGATGAACAGGACCATCAGGAGGTGTCATACGCATAATTGGATCACTGTGTTTTCACACAGAGAAAAATCACTTCCCCTTCTCAGAGGCCCAAGACACCTCCAACAGATACCAGCATGTACATAGAACTTCCAAATGCTGAGTCCAGATCCAAAGCTGTCTTCTGTCCACGAGCACCACAGTCAGGCCTTGAGGGGATCTTCTAGGGAGACAACAGCCCTGTCTCAAAACCGGGTTGCCAGCTCCCATGTACCAGCAGCTGGAATCTGAAGGCATCAGTCTTCATCTTAGGGGATCGCTCTTCCTCAAACCACGAATCTGAACATGCCTCTCTCTTGCTTACAAATGTCTAAGGTCCCCACTGCCTGCTGGAGAGAAAACACACTCCTTTGCTTAGCCCACAATTCTCCATTTCACTTGACCCCTGCCCACCTCTCCAACCTGAACTGGCTTACTTCCTAGTCTACTTGAGGCTGCAATCACACTGAGGAACTCACAATTCCAAACATACAAGAGGCTCCCTCTTAACATGGCACTTAGACACGTGCTGTTCCACCTTCTCTCATGCAGTTCCACCTTCCCTCAGACTATCTTTCCAGCCTTCTGTCAGTCAGCAGTGAAAACTTATAAATTGTTTTTAGTAATTTCAATGTAGTTTTCCCTCCTTCAAATAAACATGTCTGCCCTCATGGTTTCGGTAATGGGACTCTATTCTTGCCTGAAAGGCTTCTGGTGTTATCATTACCATGTCCACATAACCCCATCTGTTCTCCACTGGGTTCTCACCCCTGGACTCTGAGCTTCTGGAAGCAGGGTGGACCCTGACTTGTCTCTGAGACTCCAATTTCCATCCAAAGATGCAGCACATAGGAAGTTCCAAGGATCGTGAATCACATGAACAAGTGATATTCTTACTCTCTGCAGACCTGGAAAGCTGGCAGAGTCATTCCATGATGAAACATTTGTAGAGTCATAGGCCTTGTTAGTCTCATCTCCACGGGGACACATGTCAACGCATCATCTTTCATACTATATATATATACAGTCGCTCCTCCGTATCTGTGGGGTTTACAGGTGTTTATTGAACCAAGTATAAATCAAAAATATTCAGAGAAGAAAAGCCCACAAAGCTTTCCAAAAAGCAAAACTGTGTTGAATGGCACACAAATGAAGCGTGGTGTATAGGCCTGTATCAGGAATTATAAGTAATCTAGAGATGATTTCATGTATACAGGAGGATGTGCATGGGTTATATGCCAAATGCCTGTGTCATTTTATGTAAGAGGCTTGAGCATCTGCAGATTTTAGGTATCTGAGTGGAGATCCTGAAACCAATCACCCATGGAATAGTGAAGGATGACCGGTATAAGACTGTTTATTTCTCAAATTTAAATATAAATCATAAAAAATGTACAATAACTAGATAAAAACTAAGAAGTGTTTTTATAGTGTGAGAATAAGTTTAGATTTATTATTTCCTATGTGTAACCCTTTGGTTTAATATTATTTATTGAGAAGACATTCTATGCCACCTTAAACCACACGGCAGCCTTTGTCAACTCTAAAAGGGACTGTGTGTACACGGATGTGTATTTTAGACACTGTCTCTGCTAAACGGCTCTCTGTGTCCACATTCTTGAGGATGCTGCCACTTTCATGTAGCCCTTATAGAACCCTTTAAATTTAGTAGCCAGAGGCCCTCTAATTTGTTATTATAGGCTATTTGCTATTTTTTTTTTCTTGAGGCGGAATCTTGCTCTGTCACCCAGGCTGGACTGCAGTGGTGCAATCTCAGCTCACTGCAAACCTCCGCCTCCCAGGTTCAAGCGATTCTCGTGCCTCAGCCTCTTGGAGTAGCTGGTGTTACAAGTGTCCTGCCACTGGGCACGGCTAATTTTTGGATGTTTAGCAGAGACACGGTTTCACTGTGTTGGCCAGGCTGCTCTCAAACTCCTTATATCAGTTGATTCCGCCCACCTCGGCTTCCCGAACGTGCTGGGGGAAACTTGATTTTCTATAGCATTATGTTACTGGATATTTCCTGTAAAATTTAAAATGAGGGAGGGAGAGAGACAGAGAGAGAGCAAACTCCAGAGTTGGGACTCTGGAATCTTGGGTCATGAGACAAATTTTAGATAAATCTACAAAAATCCAGAGTTTAAATGTGTGGTTTTTGCTGATAAACGTACAATTCGAAAGATTGTAAATAATTGCATAATCCTTTCCTGGGAATTTAAATCATTTTAACTGGTTCTGCTGTAATACTAGAAATACAAGCATGAAAAATTCTAATGGTTTATTAGTCACAATGACTCCTGAAAACCTTAATAATACCTATTAGATATTTTGCATATTACACAGGAAGAAGAGTTTGAATCTCAGATAAAAACAATAAAAATACATGAAAAGTCTTTCACGTTAGCACAGATTTTAGGCATCTCGTGTTCAGGAGGTTGGATCTGAGACGTGTTTTGAGTTGGTCATAGTGAAGGACGCTAGGTGTAAATTCTAGTGAGAACAATTTCCAGGAAGCCGTGTTCCGCTCTTGAGCGAGCAACCACTGGGCCTCATGCAAGGTAGAAAGAGCCTGCGTACGTCACCCTCCCATGATGTGGTCAACATGTAAACTGCATGGGCAGGGCGCCAAATAACATCCTGTGCGCTGCTGAGCTGAGCTGGGGCGCGGCCGCCTGTCTGCACCGGCAGCACCATGTCGCTCACGGTCGTCAGCATGGCGTGTGTTGGTGAGTCCTGGAAGGGAATAGAGGAAGGGAGTGTGGGGTTGGAGATCTGGGCCCAGAGGTGGATATATAGGCCTGGAGGTGGAGTTGTGGGCCTGGAGTGGAGATCTGGGCCTGGAGTGGATATATGGGCCTAGAGATGGAGTGATGGGCCTAGAAGTGGAGATCTGGGCCCAGAGGTCGAGATATAGGCCTGGAGGTGGAGTGATGGGACTGTAGTGGAGATCTGGGCCTGGAGTGGAGATAGGAACCTGGAGGGGAGATAGGAACCTGGAGGGGAGATATGGGCCTGGAGGTGGAGATATGGGCCTGGAGTGGAGTCATGGGCCTGGAGGTGGAGTTACGGGCCTGCAGTAGAGATATGGGCCTGAAGTGGAGACATGGGCCTGGAGTGGAGATATGGGCCAGGAGTGGAGATATGGGCCTAGAGGTCGATATCTGGGCCTGGAGTGGAGATATGGGCCAGGAGTGGAGATATGGGCCTAGAGGTCGATATCTGGGCCTGGAGAGGAGATATGTGCCTAGGATGGAGATACGGGCCTGGGTGTGGAGATATGGGACTGGAGAGGATATATGGGCCTGGAGTGGAGATATGGGACTGGAGAGGAGATATGGACCTGGAGTGGAGATAAGGGCCTGGATTGGAGATATGGGCCCAGGGTGGAGATCTGAGCCTGGATTGGAGATATGGGCCTGGATTGGCGATATGGGCTTAGGGTGGAAATATCGGCCTGGAGTGGAGATATGGGCCTGGAGTGGAGATATGGGCTTGAGGTGGGGATATGGACCTGGAGGCTGGGTCTCTGCACAGCCGACAGCCCTGTTCTTGGGTGCAGGTAGGCACTGAGGGTGAGTTTACCTTCAGCCCAGGAAGGGCCTGGCTACCAAGACTCACAGCCCAGTGGGGGCAGCAAGGGTGCCCTGGTTTGCCTGCAGATGGGTCATCCATCATGATCTTTCTTTCCAGGGTTCTTCTTGCTGCAGGGGGCCTGGCCACATGAGGGTGAGTCCTTCTCCCAACCTTCGGGTGTCATCTCCCCACATAAGAGGATTTTCCTGAAATGGGAGGGAAGTCCTGTCAGGGAGTCTCTCATAAACTAGGAAGAAGGGACCCTGGGGTGCTGGGCCCACATTTCTGACCTTGCCTCCCTGGCCTTTCATTCCCTTGGCAGAGTCAAGTTCTGTGGGGACCAGGGTTAGACTACGGTGCTCAAAGCTGGGGTGTGTGGTGGGGAAGTGGTAGGAACAGCAGATCCTCTGAGGACAAAGGTGTTACTCACACACTTCAGCGTTTCCATGACGGTAGGGGCTGCAGTGTGGCTGCTGTCATTCTACCAGAAGAGGTGGGAAAACCACAGCCATGGCCCTGACATTCCAATCCTCTGATGGGGACTCAGTTGTTTATTTTCGTTCAGGCATCGGCTGATATTCCATTCTCAAAGGACATGCCCTCCACCCCATGTCTACCCTGTGTTGTTTTATGTGAGTAATCTTACAGTATTAAAATCTAGTAGGAGTCTCTTACTCAGCACTTGCTCAAAGTTCTCAGCTGACACTTTTGTTGTAGGGAGACACCTTGTGTTTGCGGGATGGGTTCTTCCTTTAGCCCTGGGCACCAAGGTGTGATAGCAGCCATAGAAACTTGGAAAGCGAGGAGAATCTTCAGAGCACAGGGAGGGAGGGGCGGCTCCACATCCTCCTCTCTAAGGCGGTGCCTCCTTCTCCCCACGGTGGTCAGGACAAGCCCTTGCTGTCTGCCTGGCCAAGCCCTGTGGTGCCTCCAGGATATGTGATTCTTCAGTGTCATTCTTATCTTGGGTTTAACAACTTCAGTCTGTAAAAGGAAGATGGGGTGCCTGTCCCTGAGCTCTACAACATAATATTCTGGAACAGCCTTTTCATGGGCCCTGTGACCCCAGCACACGCAGGGACCTATACATGTCGGGGTTCACAACCACACTACCCCAGTGGGTGGTCGGCACCCAGCAACCCCCTGGAGATCACGGTCACAGGTCAGAGGGCTCCTGTCTGGGATTCTCCTTGTCCCACCTCCTGAATCCCAGAGCTCCTGGTGGGCGTGTCCTTGCGGGTCCCATCATGCAAGTCCTGACTGTATTTGGGGTAAAGGGGGATTGAATACAGGGAAATGGGTGCTGTGGTGGGAAGAATAATTGTCCCCAGTGATGACTACATTCTAATCCCTGGAGTCTGTGACTATTTATGATATAGGGGAAGGGACTGAAGGAGAAGATGGAGCTCAGGTTGTTGATGAGTTGACCTTGAGATGGGGAGACAACCTGGACTGTCCTGATGGGCTCAGTGTAGTCACAGGGGTCCACAGGAAAGGAGGAGGAAGAGGGGAGTGGGGATTACAGCAGCATAATGGGAGTCTCCATCAGCTTTGAAGGTGGAGGAAGTCCAGGAGCCATGAATGCAGGTGGCCTATAGAGGCTGGAAAAGTCAAGGAACTGATTCTCCTGAGTCTCCAGAGGGAACGAAGCCCTGCAGGTACCTTGATTTTACCCACGACAAACAGGGTCCGATTTCTGTCTCCAGAATTGGAAGGGGTTAGTGTGCTCTCTCCTGCTGCCATGCTTCTGATAATTTTCTACAGCAGCAACAGGAAACCAACACTGGAACCCAGGTCAAGGACAAGTTAAGAAACAACACAAGGATAGCCAGGCATGGTGGCAGGTGCATGTAATCCTAGCGACTTGGGAGGCTGAGGGCAGGAGAATCACTTGAACCCAGGAGACAGAGGTTGCAGTAAGCCTAGACCACACCACTTCACTCCAGCCTGGGCAAAGGAGTGAGACTCTGTCGCCAAAATTAATTAATTAATTAAAGAAACCAAACAAGGAGAAGGTTGGCTACACTGAGATCAGCAAGGCTCGGATGATGATGCCACCACCAGGCTCCATCCACATAGGGAGCGGTTGATACTCCTCCAACCAGCACCAGGAGCCAGGCTATGGAAGCTGGCACTGGCATGGCAAGAGTGTCTCCCAGTCCCTACCAGGAACAGGGTGTGTGGCCACTGGTGCCTGCCTTACTGATCAGTTCATACCTCCTGCCAAGGATTCCAATTCGTCCAAAAGAGATTGAACCAGGCTGCTAAGAGCCTGGATGTGCAGCCTATCCTGGTTCCTCTTCCACCCCCACACAGACAGCAGGAAAGACATTAGTTCGAAATAGATACAACAGCCCAAGAGATGAGGCTGAGCCCAGCGGCAAGGGAATCAGAGGCTACTAGAGACAGAGGGACAGAGAAGAGTGAGGGAGACAGATGGAAGGACCTGCACCAGGAGTTATGGGCACAGAAAAGAACATGAAGACACAGAGAGGAAGGAGAGAGATAAGACACCAGGAAGGGGAAGCCTGACTCAATCCAGGTGCCATGGATGGGATGATAAAGAGAGACACCTTCTAAACTCACAACCTCTCTTCCTAGGAGTCCACAGAAAACCTTCCCTCCTGGCCCACCCAGGTCGCCTGGTGAAATCAGAAGAGACAGTCATCCTGCAATGTTGGTCAGATGTCATGTTTGAACACTTCCTTCTGCACAGAGAGGGGATGTTTAACGACACTTTGCGCCTCATTGGAGAACACCATGATGGGGTCTCCAAGGCCAACTTCTCCATCAGTCGCATGAAGCAAGACCTGGCAGGGACCTACAGATGCTACGGTTCTGTTACTCACTCCCCCTATCAGTTGTCAGCTCCCAGTGACCCTCTGGACATCGTGATCATAGGTGAGAGTGTCCAGACTTTCTTCTCATTGTCATTGGGATGCAGAGTGAATGATCCAGGACTTGGAGGCCCAGGTGGCTGTAAGGAAGATGAGCTTGGTATTCTTATGGAGAGAGACTGACTTGGTGAGGTCTGTGCCAACAGAGACAGAGAAACAGGAGACACAAGTAGAGACCAGGTGTCATAACAGAGAACAGACACAGGGGCCATACCGGGAGTTTGAAAAGACAGAAAGAGTTAAAGGAAACACACAGACAGACATGTCCCAGAGAGAGGTGTCCCTCCATGCTGACTTTGCTCAGAGACCTGGCACAGGTTAGAAGTTTCATTTCTGTTTTACCTCCACAAAGTGTTCTCTACCAGGAGAACCCAAGGACACCCATATTTCTGACCTGAGTTGGGCCCTGTGGCCTCAGGCCTTGTGGCACCTACAGATGCCATGTTTATTCTGACACCTCTGCCTTCCATGTAATGGAGAGTAATCGTCCCAGGATATCATGGCCCCACAACACCAACCCCTGTATGCTGTGTGAACTTGTAGTCTCCAGACTGGATTCTGAGGCTCATATTCCAAATAAGCCCACTTATGAGAGGATCAGTGAGAGGCACAGAGAGAAATCAGGGACACCAAAAAGCAAAGACATAAACACACAGAGAATGAGCCAGAGGAAGGAGATTGAGAGACTCACAGACACATAAAGAGAAAAGAGGGCAGAGAAGTGAGAATGATGGAAGGGAGCAGAGAAAAGCACTAAAATTAGACTCCTGAGGGAGAGGCACAAGGACATTGAAAGATGGAGATGTGGGGATGAATTGCAGAGATTCCAAAGAGAACTAGAGAGACCGAGAGGCAGAGCAAGACAGATGATAGATGGATAGATATAGATAGATGATAAATAGGTAGATGATAGATAATAGGTTATAGATACATAGATGATGATTGATTGATTCATTAATAGATGAGACATAGAGATGATGATGATGAAGACAGATAGATAGATAATACATAGAGATACAGAGGCAGACATAGAGAAATCATAGAGAGAGAGAGATGATACATAGATATAGATAATAGATGATTGATGGATAGATAGACAATTGATGGATAAATAGATGATATATAGATATAGATGACAGGTAGAGAATTTGTAGATAGGCACCGAATAGATAAATAGATAGATCGATAGATAATAGATAGAAATATGCAGAAAGTTATGAACAGGACACAAAGTGAGAAACTCAGAATTAAAAAAAGTAACATCAAGTCAACCAATCCAAGGAGAGTCAGAGAGAATAAAACAATCCAAAAAGAGAAAACATATCTAGAGGTGGGGAAGTGAGGTCAGAGACCTAAAGAGACAGAGAAGGTGGAAGGAGGAAATAGACATGAAGAGCGATGGGGTAGAGGGTGAGAGAGAGAGAGAGAGAGCATTAGGTCATAGAGCAGGGGAGTGAGTTCTCAGCTCAGGTGAAGGGAGCTGTGACAAGGAAGATCCTCCCTGAGGAAACTGCCTCTTCTCCTTCCAGGTCTATATGAGAAACCTTCTCTCTCAGCCCAGCCGGGCCCCACGGTTCTGGCAGGAGAGAATGTGACCTTGTCCTGCAGCTCCCGGAGCTCCTATGACATGTACCATCTATCCAGGGAAGGGGAGGCCCATGAACGTAGGCTCCCTGCAGGGACCAAGGTCAACGGAACATTCCAGGCCAACTTTCCTCTGGGCCCTGCCACCCATGGAGGGACCTACAGATGCTTCGGCTCTTTCCGTGACTCTCCATACGAGTGGTCAAAGTCAAGTGACCCACTGCTTGTTTCTGTCACAGGTGAGGAAAGCCCATGGCTGTCCCATGTCCTATGATCCTAGAGCCTTAGCTGAGGAGCTTCCTGCTGATGATGGAGAGAAGCATGGACAGATGCAGAGAGAAGACGCAGCCTCGGTGTGAGGGAGGGATCAGGGCACAGGATGGCCGACAGGGCACCTCCAAACCCTCCTACATGGCCTGCATGGAGGCCCACGGCCAGGGCTCCAGGCACCCAGGCAGATGGAGAAAGCGGTCAGGAGAGACCCAGAGGAGGGAGACTGGGCTCAGTTTGGGGAGATCAGAGGTTCCCTCAGCCCCTCAACCTTACCCATTTCCCAGAAGCCCATCCTGGCCTCTCACCCACACAGAGATGTCATCACCAGCAACCCCTACACCCTTTACTTTTCTTTGAAGAAATATTTATTGAGGATAAATATACCTATATAGCTTACCACTTTTAACATTTTTTTTTGAGGTGGAGTCTAGCTGTGTCCCCTATGCTGGAGTGCAGTGGCACAATCTCAGCTCACTGCAACCTCCACCTCCTGGGTTCAAGCGATTCTCCTGCCTCAGCCACCTGAGTAGCTGGTGCTACAGGCACGCACCACCACGCCAGGCTACTTTTTGTATTTTTAGTAGGGAGGTGGTTTCACCATGTTGGTCGAGCTGGTCTCGAACTCCTGACCAAGTGATCCACCCGCATCTGCCTCCCAAAGTGCTGGGATTACAGGCATGGGCCACCGCGCCCAGCCACATTTACCATTTTTAAGTGTAAAGTCTAGTGGTCATAAATACATTTATATACATATATATATATATACATTTTTTTTACCCTCCACCCTTTTCTTCCTGTCCTCCAGTAGCCACCATTCTACTCTCTACCTTCATGAGATCCACCTTTTAGCTCCTGTATATGGGTGAGAAATGGGAATCTTTGTAATGACCTCCAGTTCCATCCATGTGGCTGCAAATGACAGGATGTTATTCTTTCTATGGATGAGTAGTCTCCACTATGCGTATGTACTACATTCTCTCTATCCATTTACCCACTGATGGGCAGGTAGGTTGACTCCTCATCTTGGCTACTGTGAACAGTGCTGCACCAATCATACGAGTGCAGATATCACTTCGATATATTGATTTACTTTCCTTTGGATATAAACCCAGTAGTGAAATTGCTGGATACTATGAAAGTTCTCTTTTTTTCTTTTTTTCTTTTTTGAGAAAGAGTTTCCCTCCTTAGCCCAAGCTGGAGTCAAAGTGGTGCGACCTTGGCTCATTGCAACCTACGCCTCCTGGGTTCAAATGATTTTCCTGCCTCAGCCTCCCTAGTAGCTGGGATTACAGGTGCACACCACCATGCCTGGCTACTTTTTGGTTTTTTTAGTATAGATGGGGTTTCCCCATGTTGGCTGGGCTGCTCTCAAACTCATGACCTCAACTGAGGTGCCCGCCTCAGTCTCCCAAAGTGCCGGGATTACAGGCATGATCCACCGCACCCAACCTCTTTTTAGTTCTTTAAAGGACTTCCATACTTTTCTCCGTAATGGCTGTACTAATTTACACTCCTCCCAACAGGGTACCAGGGTTCTCCTTTCTCTACCACCTTGCCAGCATTTCTTTTGCCTGTCTTGCAGCTAAAAGCCATTTTATTTTATTTCATTTTATTTTGAGATGGAGTTTTGCTCTTCTCACCCAGGCTGGAGTGCAGTGGCGCGATCTCGGCTCACCACAACCTCCACCTCCCAGGTTCAAGCGATTCTCCTGCCTCAGCCTCCCGAGTAGCTGGAATTACAGGCACACGCCACCACGCCCGACTAATTTTTGTATTTTTAGTAGAGACAGTGTTTCTCTATGTGGGTCATACTGGTCTCAAACTCCCGACCTTATGAGATTCACCCACCTCAGGCTCTCAAAGTTCTAGGATGACAAACGTGAGCCACCTCACCCGGCCTAAAAGCCATTTTAATGGGGTGAGATGAAAACTCACTTTGAATTTAATTTGCGTTTCTCTGATGATGAGTGATACTGAGCAGTTTTTCGTATGTGGGGAAATTTCATGTCTTTTGCTCCTTTTTCAATTAAATCATTTGTTTTATTGAGTTGTTTGAGCTTCTTATATTTCTAGTTATTAATCCCATCTCAGATGCATAGTTTGCACATATTTGCTCCCAATCTGTGGGTTGTCTCTTCACTTTGTTGGTTTATTTTTAGCGGTGCAGAAGTTGCTTAGTATGAGGTAATCCCAATGGTCTATTTTTGCTTCGATTACTTGTGTTTTCAAGGTTTAAAACAAAATGTCTTTCTTCAGACAAATGTCCTGGAGCATTTCCCCAATATTTTGTTCTACGTGTTTCATAGGTTCAGGCCTTAGACTCACATCTTTAATCCATTTTCATTTGATTTTTGTGTATGGTGACAGGTAGAGGTGCAGTTTCATTCCTCTGCATGTAGATGTCCAGGTTTCCCTGCACTGTTTATTGAAAAGACTGTCCTTTCCTGATTGTGAGTTCTTGGCATCTTTGTCAAAGTCCATTGGATGGGCTGGGCTTGGTGGCTAACACCTGCAATTTCAGCACTTTGGGAGCCCGAGGTGGGTGGATCACCTGAGGCCAGGAGTTCAAGATTAGTCTGGCCGACGTGATGAAACATCATCTCCACTAAAAATATAAAAATTAGCTGAGCATGGTGGTCAGCACCTGTAATACCACTACTCAGGAGTTTGAGGCAAGAGAATGATTGAACCCAGGAGGCTGAGGTTGCAGTGAACCGAGATTGCACCTTTGCACTCCAGCCTGAGTGACAGAGCAAGACTCCATCTCAAAAGAAAAAATAAAAAACCATTGGATGTAAATGCATGGAATATATCTGTGTTATTCATTCTGCTCCGTTGTTCTATGTGCCTTTCTTTATGCCAGTGTCATGCTATTTTGCTTACTACAGCTCTGTAACATATTTTGAGATCAGGTAGTGTGATGCTCCTGTTTTCTCTTTATACCTTGAAGTCTCAAGACAGTGGGTGTCACATAAAAAAATTATGGAAAAAAGGATCCCAGGACTCCCAGGGCCCAATATTAGATAACAGAGTGTTGGCCATGAACCATCCTCAAAGATTTCCACTGAGTGGAGGACAGAAACCCTCATTTCCTCACCTCTCTCCTGTCTCATGTTCTAGGAAACCCTTCAAATAGTTGGCCTTCACCCACTGAACCAAGCTCCGAAACCGGTGAGTACAGAACCCTCTTATATCCGCTTTTGGAAACCTGGGGAGGTGGAAACCTTGGATTCAGGCGTTGACTCAGCATCTCACAGCTCTGACATTGTACACCTGTCTTCCACCATCTCCGAACTCCAGATACTCCTACAGCGAAAGGGATCTGGGCCCAACACAGGGCTCAGTGAAATCTCTTCATCTCTCATTTTATGGAGCTGAGACCTCCTACAAGCTAGAAGAATGATTGCCAATCTGACATCCTTCTCAGGAAAAATGCAATGTTTGTTCTGCCTGCATTCCTAACTGGAGGATAAATTCCTGGAGACTTGAGAGAGGGAAGGGAAGGGAACATCTGATGAGGGCGAGGTGTTTTAGAGAAGTTCCACTTGCCAAGGAATGAGCTCCTGTAGGTCATGAAGCAACCCTGGCTGACTCAGCAGAGCAAGAGCCTTGCCGTAACAGAGAACAGAGCTCATGCACACACACTTCGACTCACTGACTCATTCAGCCACGGCCCCATGCTCAGGCTGTGCAGTGCGGAACCTTTTCCTATTGTTGCCATAACAAATTTCCACAAGATTCGTGGGTGAAAACAAAACGGTTTTTTAATTATCTTACAGTGCTGTAGCTCAAAGTAGGAAGTGCATCTTACTGGGCTAAAATCAAGGTGACAGCAAGGCTGCCTTCCCTCTGAGGATTCCAGGCACGAATCTGCTTCTCACTTGTCCCAGCTTCTAAAGGCTCCCAGTTCCTTGGCTCCTGGTCCCCTTCCTCCTTCCTCAAAGCCCACAAAGACTGGTCACATCTCACATGGCATCACTCAGTGCCTTCTTCCTTACCACACTTCTTTCTCTGAATGCTGCTCTCCCTTCTTCCTCATCTTTTGAAAACTTGGGGATTCTATTGGGTTCACCAAGATGAAAATCCCTCATAATCTCCTGGAAATCATCCAGGATACCCTTGTTTTAAGTTCAGCTGATTAGTAACCATAATTCCATCTGCAATCTTCATTCCTCCTTTCCATGTAAAATAACATATTCACAAGCTATGGAGGCTAGGACAGGGACATTTTGGGGTGGGACAGCATTCTCCTGCCTTCCACAAACAGTGAACAAGATGCATTTGGCCTCTGCCCTTGGGACACTGATATTGCAGATGGTTAAATGGGAGGGCAGAAAATGAATGCACAAGTGGATCTATAAATGAATGATCCATTGGGAAGCATCTGTGCATGAAATCTATTTTTTGTTTGTTCTTTTGTTTATTGAGACAGAGTTGCCCTCTGTCTTCCAGGCTACAGTGCAGTGTCACGATCTTGGCTCACTGCAACCTGCTTCTCCTGGATTCAAGTGATTCTCCTGCCTCCGCCTCTCGAGTAGCTGGGATTACAGGCAACTGCCACCGTGCCCGGCTAATTCTTTTTGTATATTTTTTGTAGAGAGGATGTTTCACCACGTTGGCCAAGCTTGTCTGAAACTCCCAACCTCAAGTGATCCGACCGTCTCAGCATGCCAAAGTAATGGGACTACAGGCGTGAGCCACTGTGCCCAGCCAGAATTCAAAATCAATAATAGATAATGCTGAGTGTATGATTTCAGGTGACAAAGAAGGTCTCACTATTCAGATATTTGTGACATTAATGAAAAACACGGATTGAACCCCTGAAAGATTGGCGGAAGGATTTTGCACACACAGCTGTCAGCCGTGAAGGCACAAAGGTGAAAACAATCTGATGTGGAAGGAAGAGGCTCTTCCTCAAATGCTGGGAATGAGGTGGGGAGAATGACAAGACGACTGTGGAGAGACGGAGAGCACACTGGGTACACAGGAAACTAAGGAGCAACAAGGAGTGTGTGTTTGACACTCACAGCCATTGGATTCACCTCGGGGTAACCAGGAATCCCTACATGATTAATATGACTGACATGAAAATAAAGGAGGCCCAGGGGCGTAACTGGAATCTAGGAGACCGTGGAAAAGGCAATTCCCGACCCACTGGTGAAATGTGGTGCTGATTTTGACACTAAGTGGATGAAGCAGATGGATATAAGCTATGCTTGTGAGGTAGAATCATTGGCTGGAAAGGCTTGCTGGGTTTGATTTTCCTACTTGTTTAATCCTCGCTTAATTAATTTCTTTCTGAGATTTATTCATCCTACACATAAATCAATACCTGGCAAAGGAGTGACAGATATATGAGGGGTGGTGGAAATGAAGAGACCTATTATAGCGTAATATACAAGTCTGTGAACGGTGGCTCACGCTTGTAACCCAGCACTGCAGGAGGCCAAGGCGGGTGGATTCCATGAAGTCAGGAGTTCCAGACCAGCCTGGCCAACATGGTGAAACCCTATCTGTACTAAAAATACAAAAATTAGCCGAGCATGGTGGTGCATCCCTGTAATCCCAGCTCCTACTCTGGAGGATGAAGCAGGAGAATGACTTCAACCCAGGAGGTGGAGGTTGCAGTGAGTGGAGATTGCATCACTGCACTCCAGCCTGGGTGACACAAGGAGACTCCGTCTCAAAAAATAAAAATAAGAAATGCATAAATATAATAAAACACACACGAATGACAAAGGCACCTGAATTCCAATCATCATTTTTCTATTTCTCTATAATTACTTCTTTGATCCTTTATCTTATCCATTAGGCAATGAGCCTAAAACCTCTTCCCTATTTGGCTTTCTGTGAGCATGAGATCACATAGAAAATGTGAAAGCCCGCTGAATCCTCCAGCACGGATCCTGGAATAGAGAAAGTGCTCTGTTCATCGCAAAAAAAAACTTGCCCACTCACCCAAATCCCCCACCTCACCCCTACTTCCAATCACCTGTGGAGATTCAGATAGACCATGGGGAGGAAACATTAATACTCCTTGGAGTGAGTCCAGATCTTGGAATCAGAGATCAGCGACAGCACTAGCTCCTGTTCCCCTTTCCTACTAATTCACAGGAGGACAGGTGGTATTGAAGCAATAGATGGTGGAGGGGGTGGTCCTTCCCCCAGCCTCTCGGGTAGAACAGCAGCCTAACATGTGTCTCCCGAGATCACAAAGAGCAGCACATTTCACACGGGCTTCAACACTATTTTCTGGCTGTTTGACATAAGAGAATCTTGCTTCGCTATTTTTAATCGTGATTTCACCTTTGTTTCCTTTCCTTGGTGAATGCAATTTGTTTGACTCAAGAATGCTGTGGATGTAGAAATCCTAAAGCACATTCGCTGTGTATCAATCCCAGTGCAGTCTTCCCAGAGAAGACTCTAAACAAATCCTGGACTGCACCTGGGCCTATGCCAATTCCTATCACTCACCGTCACTCCAGGGAGACAGAACACACAGAGAATACGTTACATAGGCAGGTTCATTACTAACAGATAAGCAGTGAGTGACAACAGAAGCCTGCATTTCAATGTGAGCCAGTCCCTCAAGGCTCAGAAAAGCTGCTCGGGACATATGGAGTCACCCCATTTGCAGTGTAACTGGGGGAAGCCAGAAAGCAGCCCAGCCTGGGTTTTGTACCCTGGAGCCACAGGAAGCACTCAGCTAAAGCACTGCATGACGTCCTCCTCCAGGAAGAACAGGAAGACAGCCCAGGCTGTTCTGAGACATTCCTCCTGATCTCAGGATGTTGCTATCTTAGTCCATTTTTGTTGCTCTAAAGGAACACTTGAGCCTGGGTAACTTCTAAAGAAAAGAGATTGGTTTGCCTCACAGTTCTGCAGGCTGTACTGGAAGCATGGCACCAGAATCTATTTCTCGTGATGGCCTCAGGCTGCTCCCACTCTGGCAGAAGGGAAGGAGGGTCTGTCTGTGCAGAGACCGCAGAGATCACACGGCAAGAGAGAGAGTAAGGGGGAGAGGGAGCGATGGAGCTTCCAAGCTCTTTTTAACAACCAGCTCTCCAGGAACTAACAGAGGGGGAACTTGCTAACCCCGTCTCCTTGGGACAGCATTGGTCTGTTCATGATGGATCCACCTCCATGACCCAAACACCTCTGAAGAGGCCCAACCTCCCACAATGGGGGTGAAATTTCAATGTGAGGTTTGAAAGGGTCAAACATCTCAACTAAAGTAGTTGTATCCTCAGCACGTTCTATGGTTACTATGAGAGCTATAATTGAGAAAGCAGGGGAAAGCTAGGTCTCCCGCCATTTGGGTGCTTGTCCTAAAGAGACGTTGTATGTGGTTACCTGCCAATCAAGAAATGCGAGACAATTCATAAAGAGGAACTGCTATGATTAGCTTCTTATTGGTGTCTCCTCTTCTTCCAGGTAACCCCAGACACCTACATATTCTGATTGGGACCTCAGTGGTCAAAATCCCTTTCACCATCCTCCTCTTCTTTCTCCTTCATCGCTGGTGCTCCGACAAAAAAAGTAAGTCTCACGAAGCAGAGGCCAGAGAGCTCAGGGCCATGTGGGGAAGCAGGATGGGAGCACGCGGATGTGTGTTCCTCACCAGCAGGATGGTCCCTGGCCCAAGACAGGAGCCACAGAGGCAGGACTTTCTAGAGAGAGCACCAGATTCCCTTCCCCTGCCTTCAGCTCACAGACCATTGCCTGATTCTGAACTGTATCCTCACGTCCCCTGCAGCCACTCACATCCAGGAGAAGGTTCCATGACAGGCAGAAAGTGGGAGATAGAATCAATGGGATGGGACCTCAGAGCTATTCATGGGATGGGTCCTTGAACTCAGAGAGATAGAATGTCTGAGTCTGCTGTTGGCAACTGAGGGACCTCAGGCACCTATGGCCTCCCCCTGTTTGTTGGTATCTGCTTATGAAATGAGGACCCAGAAGTGCCCTCCGAGCTCTTTTGTTGACTTCCGTCTTCTACAGATGCTGCTGTAATGGACCAAGAGCCTGCAGGGAACAGAACAGTGAACAGCGAGGTAGGTGCTCCTCGGCCCAGCCTCGTGGCTAGTCTTATTCCCAAAGAGTCCTGAAAAATGTGAGCACCCTCCCTCACTCAGCATTTCCCTCTCTCCAGGATTCTGATGAACAAGACCATCAGGAGGTGTCATACGCATAATTGGATCACTGTGTTTTCACACAGAGAAAAATCACTCGCCCTTCTGAGAGGCCCAAGACACCCCCAACAGATACCAGCATGTACATAGAACTTCCAAATGCTGAGCCCAGATCCAAAGTTGTCTTCTGTCCACGAGCACCACAGTCAGGCCTTGAGGGGATCTTCTAGGGAGACAACAGCCCTGTCTCAAAACCGGGTTGCCAGCTCCCATGTACCAGCAGCTGGAATCTGAAGGCATCAGTCTTCATCTTAGGGCATCGCTCTTCCTCACACCACGAATCTGAACATGCCTCTCTCTTGCTTACAAATGTCTAAGGTCCCCACTGCCTGCTGGAGAGAAAACACACTCCTTTGCTTAGCCCACAATTCTCCATTTCACTTGACCCCTGCCCACCTCTCCAACCTAACTGGCTTACTTCCTAGTCTACCTGAGGCTGCAATCACACTGAGGAACTCACAATTCCAAACATACAAGAGGCTGCCTCTTAACACAGCACTTAGACACGTGCTGTTCCACCTCCCTTCAGACTATCTTTCAGCCTTCTGCCAGCAGTAAAACTTATAAATTTTTTAAATAATTTCAATGTAGTTTTCCCGCCTTCAAATAAACATGTCTGCCCTCATGGTTTCGGTAACGAGACTCTTTTCTTGCCTAAGGCTTCCGGTGTTATCATTACCATGTCCACATAACCCCATCTGTTCTCCATTGGGTTCTCAGCCCTGGACTCTGAGCTTCTGGAAGCAGAATGGAGCCTGATTTGTCTCTGAGACTCCAATTTCCATCCAAAGATACAGCACATAGGAGGCTCCAAGGATCGTGAATCACATGAACAAGTGATATTCTTACTCTCTGCAGACCTGGAAAGCTGGCAGAGTCATTCCACGATGAAACATTTGTAGAGTCATAGGCCTTGTTAGCCTCATCTCCACGGGGACACATATCAACATATCATCTTTCATAATATAAATATACAGTCGGTCCTCCATATCTGTGGGGTTTACAGGTGTTTATTGAACCAACAATAAATCAAAAATGTTTTCAGAAAAAAATCCCCGAAGTTTCAAGAAGCAAAAAACTATGTTGAATCGACACAAATTGAGTGGCGTGTAGGCTGTGTCAGGAATTATAAGTAATCAAGAGATGATTTCATGTATACAGGAGGATGTGCATGGGTTCTATGCAATTACTATGCTATTTTTTTTTTTTGAGACAGTCTCACTCTCTCACCCAGGCTGGAGTGCAGTGGCATGATCTCAGCTCACTGCAACCTCCGCCTCCCAGGTTCAAGCGATTGTCTTCCCTCAGCCTCCCCAGTAGCCTCCCCTAGGATTACAGGCACGTGCCACCATGCACAGATAAATTTTTTTGTGTGTGTATTTTTAGTAGAGATGGGGTTTCAGAATGTTGGACCAGCTGGTCTTGAACTCCTGACCTCGTGATCTACCCAACTCAGCCTCCCAAAGTGCTGGGATTACAGGCGTGAGCCACGGTGCCCAGCTTCGCTATGCCATTTCATGCAAGGGGCTTGAGCATCTGCAGATTTTGGTATCTGAATGGGGATCCTGGAACCAATCACCCAGGAATAGTGAAGGACCACAGTATATAATTTTTATTTGTCAATCTTAAAAATAAAGCATAAAAAGTTTACAACAACAAGATAAAAAATAAGAAGTGTTTTTATAGTGTGAGGATAAGTTTAGATTTATTTTTTCCTACGTGTAACCCTATGGTCCTGTGTTATTTATTGAGAAAATATTCTATTCCACCTTAAACTACATGGCAGCCTTTGTCAACTATGAAGGGAC
This sequence comes from Homo sapiens, assembly GCF_000001405.40. Lineage (NCBI taxonomy): Eukaryota > Metazoa > Chordata > Mammalia > Primates > Hominidae > Homo > Homo sapiens. Next base: position 178,808 of record NW_016107304.1, read on the forward strand.
TGTGTATCCACAGATGTATTTTAGACACAGTTTTCTGCCCAGTGGTTCTCTGTATCCCCTCTCATGAGGATGCTGCATTTCATATAAACTTATAGAACCCCTTAAAATTTGGTAACCTGAGTTCTCTGATTTGTTATTATAGGTTATTTAGTTTGCTTTTTTTTTTCTTTCTTGAGACAGACTCTTCCTCTGTCACCCAAGCTGGAGTTCAGTGGCTTGAGCTCAGCTCACTGCAGCCTCCGCCTCCCAGGTTCAAGCAATTCTCGTGCCTCAGGTTTAGTACTAGAAACTCATCAGGAAAATTAGAATGGCTTTTTGTCACAATTACTCTGATAATGTTAATAATACCTCTTAGATATTTTGCACATTACACATGAAGAAAAGTTTGAATCTCAGATAAAAACAAAAATACATCAAAAGTCTTTAATGTAAGCACAGAATTCAATCACCTCATGTGTGAGAGGTTGGATCTGAGACGTCTTTTGAGTCTGGTCATAGTGAAGGATGCAAGGTGGCAATTGTAGTCACAACAATTTCCAGGAAGCCATGTTCCGCTCTTGAGCGAGCACCCACTGGGCCTCATGCAAGGTAGAAAGAGCCTGCGTACGTCACCCTCCCATGATGTGGTCAACATGTAAACTGCATGGGCAGGGCGCCAAATAACATCCTGTGCGCTGCTGAGCTGAGCTGGGGCGCGGCCTCCTGTCTGCACCGGCAGCACCATGTCGCTCACTGTCGTCAGCATGGCGTGCGTTGGTGAGTCCTGGAAGGGAATAGAGGGAGGGAGAGTGGGGATGGAGATCTCGGCCTAGAGGTAAAGATATGGGCCTGGAGTGGAGATATGGGCCTGGAGTGGAGATATGGGCCTGGGTGTGGAGATATGGGCCTGGAGGTGTAAATATGGGCCTGGAGTGGAGATATGGGCCTGGAGGGGAGATATGGGCCTGGGTGTGGAGATATGGGCCTGGAGTGGAGATACGGGCCTGGAGTGGAGATATGGGCCTGGAGTGGAGATATGGGCCTGCAGGTGGAGATCTGGGCCTGGAGTGGAGATATGGGCCTGGAGTGGAGATATGGGTCTGATGTGGAGATATGGGCCTGGAGTGGAGATATGGGCCTGGAGTGGAGATATGGGCCTAGAGGGGAGATCTGGGCCTGGAGTGGAGATATGGGTCTGATGTGGAGATATGGGCCTGGAGTGGAGATATGGGTCTGATGTGGAGATATGGGCCTGGAGTGGAGATAGGGGCCTGGAGTGGAGATATGGGCCTGGAGTGGAGATCTGGGCCAGGAAGTGTTGATCTGGGCCTGGAGCCTGGGTCTCTCCACAGCTGAGAGCCCTGTTCTTGGCAGCAGGTAGCAGGGAGGCTAAGTTTACCTTCAGCCCAGCAAGGGCCTGGCTGCCAAGACACACAGTGCAGTGGGGGCAGCAGGGTGCCCTGGTTTGCCTGCAGTTGGATCGTCTATCATGATCTTTCTTTCCAGGGTTCTTCTTGCTGCAGGGGGCCTGGCCACTCATGGGTGAGTCCTTCCCCAAACCTTAGGGTGTCATCTCCCCACATAAGAGGATTTTTCTGAAACAGGAGGGAAGTCCTGTCGGGGAGTCTCTCATAAACTAGGAAGAGGGGACCCTTGGATACTCGGCCCACATTTCTGACCTCGCCCTCCCCGGCCTTTCTTTCCCTTTCCTGAGTCAAGCTCTGTGAAGACTGGGGTGAGACTGGGGTGCTCCAAGCTGGGGTGTGCAGGGAGGAAGTGGTGTCAGCAGCAGAGAAAGAGAGGGAAGCAGTGCTAGGAACAGCAGGTCCTCTGAGGACAAAGGTATAACTGACACCCTCCAGCGTTTCCGTGACGGTAGGGACTGCAGTGTGGCTGCGGTCTTTCTACCAGAAGAGGGGGGAAACCACAGCCATGGCCCTGACATTCCAAATCCTCTGAGGGGGCTCAGTTCATGAATTGGCTGATATTCCATTCACATAGGACATGCCCTCCATGCCGTGTCTACTTTGTGTTGTTTTATGTGAGTAATTTTGCAGTATTAAAATCTAGTAAGAGTCACTTATTCAGCACTTGCTCAAAGTTCTCAGCTGACACTTGTTGTAGGGAGACGCCATGTCTATGTGGGGTGGGTCCTTCCTGTAGCCCTGGGCACCCAGGTGTGGTAGGAGCCTTAGAAAGTGGAAATGGGAGAATCTTCTGAGCACAGGGAGGGAGGGGTGGCTCCACATCCTCCTCTCTAAGGCAGTGCCTCCTTCTCCCCCAGGTGGTCAGGACAAACCCTTCCTGTCTGCCCGGCCCAGCACTGTGGTGCCTCGAGGAGGACACGTGGCTCTTCAGTGTCACTATCGTCGTGGGTTTAACAATTTCATGCTGTACAAAGAAGACAGAAGCCACGTTCCCATCTTCCACGGCAGAATATTCCAGGAGAGCTTCATCATGGGCCCTGTGACCCCAGCACATGCAGGGACCTACAGATGTCGGGGTTCACGCCCACACTCCCTCACTGGGTGGTCGACACCCAGCAACCCCCTGGTGATCATGGTCACAGGTCAGAGGCTTTCTGTCTGGGCTTCTCACTGTCCCACCTCCTGAATCCCAGAGCTTCTGGTGGGGGTGTCCATCAGGGTCCCATCACCCAGGCCCCAACTGTATTTGGGGTCAAGGGGGATTGAATACAGGGGAAATGGGCGCTGTGGTGGGAAGAATCACTGTCGCCAATGATGGCTACATTGTAAACCCTGGAGCCTGTGACTATTTATGTTATAGGGCAGGGGACTGAAGGGGAAGGTGGAGCTCAGGTTGTTGATGAGTTGACCTTGAGATGGGGAGACAGCCTGGACTGTCCTGCTGGGCTCAGTGTAATCACAAGGGTCCGCGTGAGAGGTGGAGGAAGAGGGGAGTGGGGATTAGAGCAGTGTAGTGGGAGGGAGACGCTATCAGCCACTGTGGGCTTTGAAGGTGGAGGAAGGCCACTAGTCACAGAATGCAGGTGGCCTCTAAGGGCTGGAGAAGTCAAGAGAACTGATTCGCTGAGTCTCCAGAGGGAACGCAGCCCTGCAGATGCCTTGATTTCAGCACAGGGAGAACTGGATCCAATTTCTGTCCCCAGAAGTGGAAGGGGTCAGTGTGTTCTCTCCTGCTGCCATGTTTGTGATAATTTTCTGCAGCAGCAACAGGAAACCGACACAGGAACCCAGGTCAAGGACAAGCTAGGAAACCAAACAAGGATAGCCAGGTGTGGTGGTGGGCACGAGTAATCCAACGACTGGGGAGGCTGAGGCAAGAGAATCACTTGAACCGGGGAGGCAGAGGTTGCAGTGAGCCAAGACAACACCACTGCACTCCAGCCTGGGTGAAAAAGTGACTGTCTCAAAAATAAATTAATTAATCAATTAATTAAAGAAACCAAACAAGGAGAAGGTTGGCTACCGTGGGATCAGCAAGGGTGGGATGCTGATGCCACCACCAGGCTCCATCCACATAGGAAGGGGTTGATGCTCCTGGAACCAGCACCAGGGACCACCCTATGGAAGCTGGGGCCATGGAGAAGGCACAGACATGGCAGGAGAGGCTCCCAATCCCCATCAGGAACAGGGTGTGTGGACACTGATGTCTGCCTTACTGATGAGTTGATACCTCTGCCAGAGACTCCAATTTGTTCAAAAGAGATTGATTCAGGCTGCTGAGAGCCTGGACATGCAGCCTGTCCTCTTCCACCCCCACATAGACAGCAGGAAAGAGACTAGTGGGAAAGAGATACAACAGCCCAAGAGATGAGGCTCTCTTCACAGTGGGAAGGGAGTCAGGGGCTACTGGAGACAGAGGGACAGAGAAGAGGGAGGAAGACAAATGGAGGGACCTGCACCAGGGGATATGGGCACAGAAAAGACACGGAGACACAGAGAGGGAGGAGAGAGACAGACCTCTGGGAGGGGAACCCTCACTCATTCCAGGTGCCATGGATGGGATGATAAAGAGAGATGCCTTCTAAACTCACAACTTCTCTTTCTAGGAAACCACAGAAAACCTTCCCTCCTGGCCCACCCAGGGCCCCTGCTGAAATCAGGAGAGACAGTCATCCTGCAATGTTGGTCAGATGTCATGTTTGAGCACTTCTTTCTGCACAGAGAGGGGATCTCTGAGGACCCCTCACGCCTCGTTGGACAGATCCATGATGGGGTCTCCAAGGCCAACTTCTCCATCGGTCCCTTGATGCCTGTCCTTGCAGGAACCTACAGATGTTATGGTTCTGTTCCTCACTCCCCCTATCAGTTGTCAGCTCCCAGTGACCCCCTGGACATCGTGATCACAGGTGAGAGTGTCCAGACATTCTTCTCATTGTCATTGGGACACAGAGTGAATGATCCAGGACTTGGAACCCCCAGGTGGTCATGAGGAAGATAAGCGTGGGATTCTTATGGAGAGAGACTGACTCGGTGAGGTCTGTACCAACAGAGACAGGGAAACAGGAGACATAAGTACAGACCAGGTGTCATAACAGAGGACAGACACAGGGGCCATACGGGGAAGTAGAAAAGAGAGAAAGAGGTAAAGGAGACACTCAGACAGACAGACATGTGCCAGAGAGAAGTGTCCTTCCATGCTGACTTTGCTCAGAGACCTGGCACAGGTTAGAAGTTTCATTTCTGTTTTGTCTCCACAAAGTGCTTCTACGAGGAGAACCCAAGGACACCCATATTTCTGACCTGAGTTGGGCCCTGTGGCCTCAGGCCTTGTGGCATCTACAGATGCCATGTTTATTCTGACACCTCTGCCTTCCATGCAGTGGAGCCATAATTATCCCAGGATATCATGGCCCCAGAACACCAACCCCTAAATACTGTGTGTACTTGGTGTCCCCAGACTAGATTCTGAGGCTCATATTCCAAATAATCCTACATATAATAGGATCACTGAGAGACACAGAGATAAATCAGGGACTTCAAAAAGCAAAGGCATAAACACACAGAGAATGAGCCAGAGGAAGGGGATTGAGAGACTCACAGACACACAAAAAGAAAGAAAAGAGGGCAGAGGAGTGGAGAGAATGCTGGAAGGGAGGAGAGAAAAGCCCCAAAATCAGAACCCTGAGGGAGGGGCACAAAGACAGAGAAAGATAAAGATGTGGGGATGGATTGCAGAGATTCCAAATAGAACTAGAGAGACTGAGAGGCAGAGAAAGACAAGGAGATGGAGAGAGACAGATGATAGATGGATAGATAGATATAGATAGATGATAAATAGGTAGATGATAGATAATGGATAGGTTATAGATACATAGATGATGATTGATAGATGATACATAGAGATGATGATGATGATGATGATGAAGATAGATAGATAGAAGACACATATATAAATATATAGATACATAGATGATACATAGAGACTGACAGGCAGACAGAGAGGTAATAGAGAGAGAGAGAGATGATACATAGATACAGATAATACATAGATGATTGATGGATAGACAGATAGACAATTGATAGATAAATGATACATAGATATAGATGACAGATAATTTGTAGATAGACACAAAATAGATAGATAGATAATAGATAGAAATATGCAGAAAGTTATGAACAAGACAGAAAGTGAGAGACTCAGAATTATAGAAAAAGGAAGATCAAGTCAACCAATCCAAGGAGAGTCAGAGAGAATAAAACAATCCAAAAAGGGAAAGCATACCCAGGGGTGGGGAAGTGAGGTCAGAGACCTAGAGAGACAGAGAAGGCGGAAGGAGGAAATAGACATGAAGAGAGTTGGGGTGGAGGGTGAGAGAGAGAGAGAGCATTAGGTCATAGAGCAGGGGAGTGAGTTCTCAGCTCAGGTATGAGGGGAGCTGTGACAAGGAAGAACCTCCCTGAGGAAACTGCCTCTTCTCCTTCCAGGTCTATATGAGAAACCTTCTCTCTCAGCCCAGCCGGGCCCCACGGTTCAGGCAGGAGAGAACGTGACCTTGTCCTGTAGCTCCTGGAGCTCCTATGACATCTACCATCTGTCCAGGGAAGGGGAGGCCCATGAACGTAGGCTCCGTGCAGTGCCCAAGGTCAACAGAACATTCCAGGCAGACTTTCCTCTGGGCCCTGCCACCCACGGAGGGACCTACAGATGCTTCGGCTCTTTCCGTGCCCTGCCCTGCGTGTGGTCAAACTCAAGTGACCCACTGCTTGTTTCTGTCACAGGTGAGGAAAACCCGTGTCTGTCCCATGTCTTATGATCCTAGAGCCATAGCTGAGGAGCTTCCTGCCGATGATGGGGAGAAGCATGGACAGATGCAGAGAGAACACGAAGACTGGGTGTGAGGGGGGGGTCAGGGTGCAGGATGGCAGACAGGGCACCTCCAAACCCTCTTGCATGGCCTGCATGGAGGCCCATGGTCAGGGCTCCAGGCACCCAGGCAGATGGAGAAAGCGGTCAGGACAGACCCAGAGAAGGGGAGACTGGGCTCAGTTTGGGGAGATCAGAGGTTCCCTCAGCCCCTCAACCTTACCCATTTCCCAGAAGCCCATCCTGGCCTCTCACCCACACAGAGAGATGTCATCACCAGCAACCCCTACACTCTTTTCTTTTCATTTTCAAAAATATTTATTGAGGTTAAATGTAACTATATAATTTACCAACTTTACCATTTTTAAAAGTAAAATCTAGTGGTCATAAATACCTTTATATGCTGGGTGTGGTGGTTCACGGTTGTAATCTTGGCGCTTTGAGAGGCCAAGAAAGGTGGATCATTTAAGATCAGGGACTCGAGATCAGCCTGGCCAACATGCGGGAAATTCATCTTTACTAAACAGACAAGAAAAATTAGCCAAGCATGCCGGCATGCACCTGTAGTCCTAGCTACTTGGGAGGCTGAGGCAGGAGAAGCACTTAAAGCCAGGAGGCAGAGGTTGCACTGAGCCGAGATCATGCCACTGCACTGCAGCCTGGGAGACAGAGAGAGACTCTGTTTCTAAATAAATAAATACATCTATATTCTTTTTTTTGTTACCCTCCACCCTTCCCTTCCTGGCCTCTGGTATCCACCATTCTATTCTCTACCTTCATGAGATCCACCTTTTATCTCCTGCATGTGGTGAGAAATGGGAATCTTTGTAATGACCTCCAGTTCCATCCATGTGGCTGCAAATGACAGGATGTTATTGTTTCTATGGATGAGTAGTCTCCACCGTGTGTGTGTACTACAGTTCTCTATCCATTCACCCACTGATAGGCAGGTAGGTTGACTCCACATCTTGGCTACTGTGAACAGTGCTGGAACAGTCATATGAGTGCAGATATCACTTCGATACACTGATGTCCTTTCCTTTGGATATAAACCCAGTAGTGAAATTGCTGGACACTATGAAAGTTCTCTTTTTTTTTTTTCTTTTTTGAGAAAGAGTTTCCCTCCTTAGTCCAAGCTGGAGTCAAAGTGGTGCGATCTTGGCTCATTGCAACCTCTGCTTCCTAGGTTCAAACGATTCTCCTGACTCAGCCTCCCTAATAGCTGTGATTACAGGTGCACGCCACCATGCCTGACTAATTCTTGTATTTTTTAGCACAGACGGGATATCCCAATTTTGGGCAGGCTGCTCTCAAACTCCTGACCTCAAGTGAGGTGCCTGCCTCGGTTTCCCAAAGTGCTGAAGTTACAGGCATAAGCCACTATGCCCAGCCTCCTTTTAGTTTTTTAAAGTTTTTCCATACTTTTCTCCATAATAGTTGTACTAATTTACATTCCTACCAACAGGGTACCAGGGTTCTCCTTTCTCTACCATCTTGCCAGCATTTGTTTTGCCTGTCTTGCAGATAAAAGCCATTTTACTTTATTTATTTATTTATTTATTTATGTTGAGATGGAGTTTCACTCATAGTCGCCCAGGCTGGAGTGCAAGGGTGTGATCTCGGCTCACTGCAACCTCTGCCTCCCGCGTTCAACTGATTCTCCTGCCTCAGCCTCCAAAGTAGCTGGGATTACAGGCATGTGCCACCACGCCTAGCTAATTTTTGTATGTTTAGTAGAGAGGGAGTTTCTCCATGTTGGTCAGGCTGGTCTCCCGACCTCAGGTGATCCGCCCACCTCCGCCTCCCAAAGTGCTGGAATTACAGGCGTGAGCCACCGGCCTAAAAGGCATTTTAATGGGATGAGATGAAAACTCATCGCGATTGTAATTTACATTTCTGTGATGATGAGTGATGCTGAGCACTTTTTCATATACGTGATCGCCATTTCTATGTTTTGTTTGTGGAGAAATGTCTCCTCATGTCTTTTGCTCGTTTTTTAATTAAATTGTTTTATTGAGTTGTTTGAGCTTCTTATATTTCCAGTTATTAATCCCATCTCAGATGAATAGTTTGCAAATATTTGCTCCTATTTTGTGGGTTGTCTCTTCACTTTGTTGGTTTATCTTTGGTGGTGCAGAAGTTGCTTGGTTTGATGTAATCCTAATGGTCTATTTTTTGCTTTGATTACTTGTGTTTTGAAGGTTTTAAACAAAATGTCTTTCGTCAGACAAATGTCTTCCCCATTATTTTCTTCTACATGTTTCATAGGTTCAGGCCTTAGACTCATGTTTTTAATCCATTTTCATTTGATTTTTGTGTAAGGTGACAGGTATAGATGCAGTTTTATTCCTCTGCATGTAGATATCCAGTTTTCCCCACACCATTTATTGAAGACTGTCCTTTCTTGATTGTAAGTTCTCGGCACCTTTGTCAAAGTCCATTAAATGGGCTGGGCATGGTGGCTCACACCTGCAATTCCAGCACTTTGGGAGGCCGAGGCGGGTGGATCACCTAAAGCCAGGAGTTCAAGACCAGGCTGGCCAACAGAGTGAAACCTCGTCTCTACTAAAAATACAAAAATTAGCTGAGCATGGTGATCAGTGCCTGTAATACCACTACTCAGGAGTTTGAAGCAAGAGAATTTCTTGAATCCAGGAAGTGGAGGTTGCATTGAGCTGAGATTGCACCTCTACACTCCAGCCTGCATGACAGAGCAAGATTCCATCACACACACACAAAAGAAAGCCATTGGATGTAAATGCATGGATTATATCTGTGTTCTCCATTCTGTTCCATTTTTTATGTGCCTTTCTTTATGCCAATGTCATGCTGTTTTGCTTACTACAGCTCTGTAACATATTTCTAAGTCAGGTAGTGTGATGCTCCTGTTTTCTCTTTATACCTTCAAGTCTCAAGACAGTGGGCATCGCACACAAAAATTATGGAGAAAAGGATCCCAAGACTCCCAGGGTCCAACATTAGATAACAGAGTGTTGGCCATGAACCAACCTCAAAGATTTCCATTGAGTAGAGGACAAGCACCCTCATTTCCTCACATCTCTCCTGTCCCGTGTTCTAGGAAACCCTTCAAGTAGTTGGCCTTCACCCACAGAACCAAGCTCCAAATCTGGTGAGTAAAGGACCCCTCTTATCTCTGCTTTTGGAAACCTGGGGAGGTGGAAGCCTTGGATGCAAGTGTTGGCTCAAACCTCCCAGCTCTGTGAATGAGGGCCTGTCTTCCACCATCTCTGAACTCCAGACACTCCAACAGTGAAAGGGATCTAGGGCCACCAAAGGGCTCAGCGAAGTCTCTTTACCTTTAATTTCCTGCAGGTGAGACCTCCTACAAGCTAGAAGAATAATTGCCAATCTGACATCCTTCTCAGGAAACATGCAGTGTTTTTTCTGCCTGCATTCCTAACTGGAGGATAAATTCCCGGGGGCTTGAGAGAGGGAAGGGAAGGGAACATCTGATGAGGGTGGGTGTTTTAGAGAAGTTCCACTTGCCAAGGAATGAATTACTGTTGGTCATCAGGCAACCCTGGCTGACTCAGCAGAGCAAGAGCCTTGCCGTAACAGAGAACAGAGCTCATGCACGCACACTTCGACTCACTGACTCATTCAGCCACAGCCCCATGCTCAGGCTGTGCAGTGTGGAAGCTTTTCCTATTGTTGCCATAACAAATTTCCACAAGATTCGTGGGTGAAAACAAAACGGTTATTTAATTATCTTACAGTGCTGTAGCTCAAAGCATGACGTGCATGTCACTGGGCTAAAATCAAGGTGACAGCAAGGCTGCCTTCCCTCTGAGGGTTCCAGGCAAGAATCTGCTTCTCACTTTTCTCAGCTTCTAGAGGCTCCCATGTTCCTTGGCTCCTGGTACCCTTCCTCCTTCCTCAAAGCCCACAAAGACTGGTCACATCTCACATGGCATCACTCAGACCCTTCTTCCTTACCACACCTCTTTCTCTGAATGCTGCTCTCCCTTCTTCCCCTTCTTTTGAAAACTTGGGGATTCTATTGGGTTCACCAAGATGAAAATCCATCATAATCTCCCGGAAATCATCCAGGATACCCTCCTTTTAAGTTCAGCTGACTAGCAACCATAATTCCATCTGCAATCTTCATTCCTCCTTTCATGTAAAATAACATATTCACAAGCTATGGAGGCTAGGACATGGACATTTTTGGGGTGGGACAACATTCTCCTGCCTTCCACAAACAGTGAACAAGATGCATTTGGCCTCTGTTCTTGGGACACTGATCTTGCAGATGGTTAAATGGGAGGGCAGAAAATGTAGGCACAAGGGGACCAATAAATGAATGATCTATTGAGAAGCATCTGTGCATGAAATCTATTTATTTATGTATTTACCTACTTGTTTATTGAGACGGAGCCTTGCTCTGTCGTCCAGGCTAGAGTGCGGTGGCATGATCTCGGCTCACTGCAACCTCCACCTCCTGGGCTGAACGGATCTCCTCCCTCAGCCTCTCCAGTAGCTGGGATTACAGACCACAACCACCACGCCCGGCTAACTCTTTTTGCATATTTTCTGTAGAGAGGATGTTTCACCATGTTGGCCAGGCTGGTCTCAAATTCCCAACCTCAGGTGATCCAATAGCCTCTGCCTCCCAACACGCTGGGATAAGAGGCATGAGCCACGGGGCCAAGCCAAATTTTCAAATCAATAATAGATAATGCTGAGTGTATGATTTCAGGTGACAGAGAAGTTCTCACTAATCAGATATTTGTGACATTAATGAAAAACACGGATTGAACCCCTGAAAGATGGGCGGAAGGATTTTGCACACACAGCTGTCAGCCGTGAAGGCACAAAGGTGAAAATAATCTGATGTTGAAGGAAGAGGCTCTGCCTCAAATGCTGGGAATGACGTGGGGAGAATGACAAGACGACTGTAGAGAGACGGAGAGCACACTGGGTACACAGGAAACTAAGGAGCAACAAGGAGTGTGTGTTTGACACTCACAGCCATTGGACTCACCTCGGGGTAACCAGGAATCCCTACATGATTAATATGACTGACATGAAAATAAGGGAGGCCCAGGTGCGTAACTGGAATCTAGGAGACCGTGGAAAAGGCAATTCCCGCCCCACTGGTGAAATGTGGTGCTGATTTAGACACTAAATGAATGAAGTAGATGGATATAAGATATGTTTGTGAGGTAGAATCATTGGCTGGAAAGGCTTGCTGGGTTTGATTTTTTCCTGGTAGTTTAATCCTCGCTTCACTAACTTATTTCTGAGATTTATTTCTCCTGCATCTAAATCAATACCTGGCAGAGGAGGGAGAGCTAGATGAGGGGTGGTGCAAATGAAGGGACCTAGTATAGCATAATATACAAGGCTGTGAACGGTGGCTCACGCCTGTAACCCAGCACTTCAGGAGGCCAACGCGGGTGGATCACATGAAGTCAGGAGTTCGAGACCAGCCTGGCCAACATGGAGAAACCCTATCTCTACTAAAAATACAAAAATTAAACAGGCATGATGGTGGTGCATGACTGTAATCCCAGCTACTCTGGAGGAGGAAGCAGGAGAATGACTTCAGCCCTGGAGGCAGAGGTTGCAGTGAGTGGAGATCGCGTCACTGCACACCAGCCTGGGCTACACAGGGATACTCTGGCTCAAAAAATAAAAATAAAAAATACATAAATATAATAATATACACAAATGATGCAGGCACCTGAATTCCAATCATCATTTTTCTATTTCTCTATAATTACTTCTTTGATCCTTTATCTTATCCATTAGAAAATCAGCCTAAAACCTCTTCCATATTTGGCTTTCTGTGAACATGAGATCATATGGAAAATATGAAAGCCCCCTGAACCCACCAGCACAGGCCCTGAAATAGGGAAAGTGCTCTGTTCATCACAAGAAACTTGCCCCCTCACCCAAATCCCCCACCTCACCCCTACTTCCAATCACCTGTGGAGATACAGATAGATCATGGGGAGGTAAACGCTAATACTCCTTGGAGTGAGTTCAGATCTTGGAATCAGAGATCAGCACCAGCACTAGCTCCTGCTCCCCTTTCCTACTAATTCACAGGAGGACAGGTGGTTTTGAAGCAATAGATGGTGGAGGGGGTGGTCTTTCCCCCAGCCTCTCAGGTGGAACAGCAGCCTAACATGTGTCTCGCGAGATCACAAAGAGTAGCACGTTTCACATGGGCTTCATCATTATTTCCTGGCTGTTTGACATAAGAGAATTCTACTTTGCTTTTTTGATCTTGATTTCACTTTTGTGTCCTTTTCTTGGAGAATGTAATTTGAGTCAAGAGGGTTGTGGATGTAGAAACTGTAAAGCACATTCACTGTGTATCAATCCCAGTTCAGTCTTTCCAGAGAAGACTCTAAACACCTGCTGTACTGCACCTGGGCCTATGCAAATTTCTATCACTCACCGTCACTCCAGGGAGACAGAACACACAGAGAATACGTTACATAGGCAGGTTCATTACTAACAGATAAGCAGCGAGTGACAACAGAAGCCTACATTTCAATGTGAGCCAGTCCCTCAAGGCTCAGAAAAGCTTCTCGGGACATATGGAGTCACCTCATTTGCAGTGTATCTGGGGGAAGCCAGAAAATAGCCCAGCCTGGGTTTTGTACCCTGAAGCCACAGGAAGCACTCAGCTAAAGCACTGCATGACGTCCTCCTCCAGGAAGAACAGGAAGACAGCACAGGCTGTTCTGAGACGTTCCTCCTGATCTCAGGACGTTGCTGTCTTAGTCCATTTTTGTTGCTATAAAAGAACACTTGAGCCTGGGTTACTTCTTTTTTTTTTTTTTTTTTTGTATAGTGCTTCTGATGAGCTTTTTTTTTAAATTTTTATTATTATTATACTTTAAGTTTTAGGGTACATGTGCACAATGTGCAGGTTAGTTACATATGTATACATGTGCCATGCTGGTGTGCTGCACCCATCAACTCGTCATTTAGCATTAGGTATATCTCCTAATGCTATCCCTCCCCCCTCCCCCCACCCAACAACAGTCCCCAGAGTGTGATGTTCCCCTTCCTGTGTCCATGTGTTCTCATTGTTCAATTCCCACCTATAAGTGAGAACATGCAGTGTTTGGATTTTTGTCCTTGTGATAGTCTACTGAGAATGATGATTTCCAATTTCATCCATGTCCCTGCAAAGGACATGAACTCATCATTTTTTATGGCTGCATAGTATTCCATGGTGTATATGTGCCACATTTTCTTCATCCAGTCTATCATTGTTGGACATTTGGGTTGGTTCCAAGTCTTTGCTATTGTGAATAGTGCCACAATAAACATACGTGTCCATGTGTCTTTATAGCAGCATGATTTATAGTCCTTTGGGTTTATACCCAGTAATGGGATGGCTGGGTCAAATGGTATTTCAAGCTCTAGATCCCTGAGGAATCGCCACACTGACTTCCACAATGGTTGAACTAGTTTACAGTCCCACCAACAGTGTAAAAGTGTTCCTATTTCTCCACATCCTCTCCAGCACCTGTTGTTTCCCGACTTTTTAATGATCGCCATTCTAACTGGTGTGAGATGGTATCTCATTGTGGTTTTGATTTGCATTTCTCTGATGGCCAGTCATGGTGAGCATTTTTTCATGTGTTTTTTGGCTGCATAAATGTCTTCTTTTGAGAAGTGTCTGTTCATGTCCTTTGCCCACTTTTTGATAGGATTGTTTGTTTTTTTCTTGTAAATTTGTTTGAGTTCATTGTAGATTCTGGATATTAGCCCTTTGTCAGATGAGTAGGTTGCGAAAATTTTCTCCCATTTTGTAGGTTGTCTGTTCACTCTGATGGTAGTTTCTTTTGCTGTGCAGAAGCTCTTTAGTTTAATTAGATCCCGTTTGTCAATTTTGGCTTTTGTTGCCGTTGCTTTTGGTGTTTTAGACATGAAGTCCTTGTCCATGCCTATGTCCTGAATGGTAATGCCTAGGTTTTCTTCTAGGGTTTTTATGGTTTTAGGTCTAACGTTTAAGTCTTTAATCCATCTCAAATTAATTTTTGTATAAGGTGTAAGGAAGGGATCCAGTTTCAGCTTTCTACCTATGGCTAGCCAGTTTTCCCAGCACCATTTATTAAATAGGGAATCCTTTCCCCATTGCTTGTTTTTCTCAGGTGTGTCAAAGATCACATAGTTGTAGATATGTGGCATTATTTCTGAGGGCTCTATTCTGTTCCATTGATCTATATCTCTGTTTTGGTACCAGTACCATGCTGTTTTGGTTACTGTAGCCTTGTAGTATAGTTTGAAGTCAGGCAGCATGATGCCTCCAGCTTTGTTCTTTTGGCTTAGGATTGACTTGGCAATGCAGGCTCTTTTTTGATTCCATATGAACTTTAAGGTAGTTTTTTCCAATTCTGTGAAGAAAGTCATTGGTAGCTTGATGGGGATGGCATTGAATCTATAAATTACCTTGGGCAGTATGGCCATTTTCACGATCTTGATTCTTCCTACCCATGAGCATGGAATGTTCTTCCATTTGTTTGTATCCTCTTTTATTTCATTGAGCAGTGGTTTGTAGTTCTCCTTGAAGAGGTCCTTCATATCCCTTGTAAGTTGGATTCCTAGGTATTTTATTCTCTTTGAAGCAATTGTGAATGGGAGTTCACTCATGATTTGGCTCTCTGTTTGTCTGTTATTGGTGTATAAGAATGCTTGTGATTTTTGTACATTGATTCTGTATCCTGAGACTTTGTAGAAGCTGCTTATCAGCTTAAGGAGATTTTGGGCTGAGACAATGGGGTTTTCTAGATATACAATCATGTCATCTGCAAACAGGGACAATTTGACTTCCTCTTTTCCTAATTCAATACCCTTTATTTCCTTCTCCTGCCTAATTGCCCTGGCCAGAACTTCCAACACTATGTTGAATAGGAGTGGTGAAAGAGGGCATCCCTGTCTTGTGCCAGTTTTCAAAGGGAATGCTTCCAGTTTTTGCCCATTCAGTATGATACTGGCTGTGGGTTTGTTATAGATGGCTCTTATTATTTTGAGATACGTCCCATCAATGCCTAATTTATTGAGAGTTTTTAGCATGAAGTGTTGTTGAATTTTGTCAAAGGCCTTTTCTGCATCTATTGAGATAATCGTCCGGTTTTTGTCTTTGGTTCTGTTTATATGATGGATTACATTTATTGATTTGCATATATTGAACCAGCCTTGCATCCCAGAGCCTGGGCAACTTCTAGAGAAAACAGATTTGTTTGCCTCACAGTTCTGCAGGCTGTACTGGAAGCATGGCACCAGCATCTGTTTCCTGTGACGGCCTCAGGCTGCTCCCATTCTGGCAGAAGGGAAGGAGGGTCTGTCTGTGCAGAGACCACAGAGATCACATGGCAAGAGAGGGAGCAAGGGGGAGGGCGAGCGATGGAGCTTCCAAGCTCTTTTTAACAACCAGCCCTCCGGGAACTAATAGAGGGGGAACTTGCTAACCCCATCATGTGGGGCAGCATTAATCTATTCATGATGGATCCACCTCCATGACTCAAACACCTTCCCATAGGCCCAAACTTCCACACTGGGGGTTAAATTTCAATATTTCAGTGTGAGGTTTCAAAGGGTCAAACATCTAAACTAAAGCAGCTGTATCCTCAGCATGTTCTATGGTTTCTATGAGAGCTGTAACTGAGAAAGCAGGAGAAAGCTGGGTCTCCCGCCATCAGGCTGCTTGTCCTAAGGAGATGTTCCATGTGGTTACCTGTCAATCAAGAAATGAGACAATCCATAAAGAGGAACTGCTATGATTAGCTTCTTATTGGATTCCCATCTTCCTCCAGGTATCTGCAGACACCTGCATGTTCTGATTGGGACCTCAGTGGTCATCTTCCTCTTCATCCTCCTCCTCTTCTTTCTCCTTTATCGCTGGTGCTCCAACAAAAAGAGTAAGTCTCACGAAGCAGAGGCCAGAGAGCTCAGGGCCATGTGGGGAAGCAGGATGGGAGCACGCGGGTGTGTGTTCCTCACTGGCAGGATGGTCCCTGGCCCAAGGGAGGAGCCACAGAGGCAGGGCTTTCTAGAGAGAGCACCAGACAACCTGCCCCTGCCTTCAGCTCACAGACCATTGCCTGGTTCTGAACTGTATCCTCACATCCCCTGCAGCCACTGACATCCAGAAGCTTCCATGACAGGCAGAAAGTGGGAGACAGAATCAATGGGATGCCAATTGAGAGCACTTCATGGGATGGGGTCTTGAACTCAGAGAGATAGAATGTCTGAGTCTGGATGTTGGCAGCTGAAGAGCCTCAGGCACCTACAGCCTCCCCCTGTGGGTTGGTGTCTGCCCATGAAATGAGGACCCAGAAGGGCCCTCCAAGCGGTTTTGATGACTTCCGTCTCCTACAGATGCTGCTGTAATGGACCAAGAGCCTGCGGGGGACAGAACAGTGAATAGGCAGGTAGGTCCTCCTCGGCCCAGCCTCACGGATACAGTCTTATCCCTAATAGTCCTGAAAAATGTGAGCACCCTCCCTCACTCAGCATTTCCCTCTCTCCAGGACTCTGATGAACAAGACCCTCAGGAGGTGATGTACGCACAGTTGGATCACTGCGTTTTCATACAGAGAAAAATCAGTCGCCCTTCTCAGAGGCCCAAGACACCCCTAACAGATACCAGCGTGTACACGGAACTTCCAAATGCTGAGCCCAGATCCAAAGTTGTCTCCTGCCCACGAGCACCACAGTCAGGTCTTGAGGGGGTTTTCTAGGGAGACAACAGCCCTGTCTCAAAACCAGGTTGCCAGATCCAATGAACCAGCAGCTGGAATCTGAAGGCATCAGTCTGCATCTTAGGGGATCGCTCTTCCTCACACCACGAATCTGAACATGCCTCTCTCTTGCTTACAAATGCCTAAGGTCGCCACTGCCTGCTGCAGAGAAAACACACTCCTTTGCTTAGCCCACAAGTATCTATTTCACTTGACCCCTGCCCACCTCTCCAACCTAACTGGCTTACTTCCTAGTCCTACTTGAGGCTGCAATCACACTGAGGAACTCACAATTCCAAACATGCAAGAGGCTCCCTCTTAACACGGCACTTACACACTTGCTGTTCCACCTTCCCTCATGCTGTTCCACCTCCCCTCAGACTATCTTTCAGCCTTCTGTCATCAGTAAAATTTATAAATTTTTTTTATAACTTCAGTGTAGCTCTCTCCTCTTCAAATAAACATGTCTGCCCTCATGGTTTCGATAATGTGACTCTTTATTCGCCAAAAGTTTCCAGTGTTATCATTACTATGTCCATATAACCTGATATGTTCTCTACTGGGTTCTCAGCCCTGGACTCTGAGCTTCTGGAAGCAGGGTGGAGCCTCATTTGTCTCTGGGACTCCAATTTCCATCCAAAGATGCAGCACATAGGAGGTTCCAAGGATCGTGAATCACATGAACAAGTGATATTCTTACTCTCTGCAGACCTGGAAAGCTGGCAGAGTCATTCCAAGATGAAACATTTGTAGAGTCATAGGCCTTGTTAGTCTCATCTCCACAGGGACACATGTCAACACATCATCTTTCATACTATAAATATACAGTCGCTCCTCCATATCTGTGGGGTTTACAGGTGTTTATTGAACCAAATATAAATCAAAAATATTCAGAGAAAAAATCCACAAAGTTCCAAAAAGCAAAAATACTATATTGTGTGGACACAAGTGAGGTGGTGTGTAGGCTGTATCAGGAATTATAAGTAATCTAGAGATGATTTCATGTATACAGGAGGATGTGCATGGGTTATATGCAAATGCTGTGCCATTTCATGCAACAGGCTTGAGCATCTGCAGATTTTGGTGTCTGGTAGGGAGGGGGGTTTCCTGGAACCAATCACCCATGAATAGTGAAGGACTACTGTATATAATTTTCATTCATCAATTTTATAAATAAATCATCAAAATGTATGATAATAAGATAAAAAATTAGCAGTGTTTTTATGGTGTGAAAATAAGCTTAGATTTATTTTTTCCTGCTTGTAACCCTCTGGTCCAATGTTATTTACTGAGAAGACATTCTATTCCACCTTAATCCGCATGGCAGCCTCTGTCAACTATAAAAGGACTGTGTGTACACAGATGTATTTTACACACTCTTTTCTGCTCAGTGGCTCTCTGTGTCCACTCTCATGAGGATGCTGCACTTTATGTGGCCTTATAGAACCCCTTAAAATTTGGCAGCCTGAATCCTCTAATTTCTCCTTCCTCTTTAAGATTGCCATTATTATTATTATTGGCTATTTGCTTTTCCATGTAAATTTGTAATCATTTTTCTCATTTCCACCAAAAACAATGCTTGTAATTTTGTTGTGACTCCCTTACATCTACAGGTAAGTTCTGTCCTATAGAAACATAATGCAAACCACATGCATTCTTTCAAACTTGCTAGTATCCAAATTAAAAAGCTAACAAGAAACAGATAAAATTAATTTAAGTTAACCCAATGGACCCAAAATATTATTAACCCAACAGACCCAAAATATTAACCTAATAGATCCAAAATATTATTTTATTATACAAGTAGACTCAAAATATTATCATTTCAACATGTAATCATGTGTCATCTTGGAAAACATCAGATCCCTGTCTAGGTGGGCAAAGATTTTTCTTCGTAATATCTCATTTCCACATTTCCACTTGGCACAGAAACTGCCCCCAAGGCTCAGGATACTAAGATGCAGTAGGAATGGGTAGATGTATCTGGAGGAAAGTGACTGAATGAAATTGAGACATCAGAGTCTGGGGAACTCACTAGAACTACAGGGACAGTGTGGGGGAGGGAATTGGGAGATGTTGATCAAAGGATACAAACTATCAGGTATTCAGGAGGAATGGGTCTGAAGATCTCTTGTACAGCTTTGCCACTATGGTTGACAATACTGTACTCTATACTTGAAATTTACCAGGAAAGTAGATTTTTTTTTTTAAATATGGAACACTTCACGAATTTGCGTGTCATTCTTGCGCAGGGGCCATGCTAGTTTTCTCTGTATCGTTCCAATTTTAGTATATGTGCTGCCGAGGCAAGCATGGGAGAGTAGATTTTTTTTTTTTTTTTTTTTTTTTGAGCTGGAGTCTTGCTCTGTCACCCAGGCTGGAGTGCAGTGGCGCGATCTCGGCTCACCGCAAGCTCCGCCTCCTGGGTTCACGCCATTCTCCTGCCTCAGCCTCCCGAGTAGCTGGGACTACAGGCGCCCGCCACCACGCCCTGCTAATTTTTTGTATTTTTAGTAGAGACGGGGTTTCACTGTGTTAGCCAGGATGGTCTCGATCTCCTGACCTCGTGATCCGCCTGCCTCGGCCTCCCAAAGTACTGGGATTACAGGCATGAGCCACCACGCCCGGCTGGGAGAGTAGATCTTAAGGGTCCTCACCACAAAAAAAAAAAAAAGAAAGAAAGAAAAAGAAACCATAGGCCGGGCGCGGTGGCTCACGCCTGTAATCCCAGCACTTTGGGAGGCCAAGACGGGCAGATCACTTGAGGTCAGGAGTTCAAGACCAGCATGGCCAACATGGTGAAACCCTGTCTCTACTAAAAATGCAAACATTAGCCAGGCGTGGTGACACAAGCCTGTAATCCCAGCTACTCAGGAGGCTGAGGCACGAGAATTGCTGGAACCTGGGAGCGGAGGTTGCAGTGAGCCAAGATGGCACCACTGCACTCTAGCCTGGGGGACAGAGTAAGACTTCCTCTCAAAAAAAAAAAAAAAAAAAAACAATAACCCTGCGAGATGATGGATATAACTAGCTTGACTATGATGATCATGTCACCATGTATACATACATCAAAACATCAAGTGTAATACACCTTAAATATATACAATTTCCATTTGTCAATCATATCTCAATAAAGCTAAAAGAAACCTCTAAGTTTCAACTTTATTTTCAGAAAGCTGTGCCATGCTTACCTCAGTGCCTAAGTATACTCTAATTCATGGAAATGGCCTTTAAAACTGCAGAGAGTGGCTGGGTGCAGTGGCTCACGCCTATAATCCCAGCACTTTGGGAGGCGGAGGTGGGCAGATCACGAGGTCAGGAGTTCGAGATCAGCCTGGCCAACATGGTGAAACTCTGTCTCTACTAAAAATACAAAAAATAGCTGGGCATGGTGGCAGGTGCCTGTAAATCTGAGATACTCAGGAGGCTGAGACAGGAGAATCGTTTGAACTGGGGAGGCAGAGGTTGCAGTGAGCCGAGATCCTGCCATTGCACTCCAGCCTGGGCGACAGGGTGAGACTCCATCTCAAAAAAAAAAAAAATACTGCAGAGAGTTAAGGCCCTCACTGGACACTCTCCGGTACCTCTGAGGTCAGTGGATAGAGAAGCAGCTCCCCTTCTTCTTCCTCGAAACAAAGGCCTCCTTCCTTCTTAGGTGTTTGAGACAAATTCTCCACACAGGTGCAGCTGAGTGCTGTAAAGTCCCACTGAGAGTTGAAGGTCCCCACTGCCAGTCACAGTTCGGTCCCACTGAGGGTTGAAGGTCCCCACTGCCAGTCACAGTTTGGTCCCATTGAGGGTTGAGAGTCTCCACTGCCAGTCACAGTTTGGTCCCATTGAGGGTTGAGAGTCTCCACTGCCAGTCAGTTTGGGCTTATTAGGGTTTATGCTGTGCACGGAGAATGGAACCTACCAATCAACTCTTAGTGACCAGTTAGACAGATTCAAGGCAAATTTCCCTGCTGGGAAATCCCAAATCCCAAAATATGCAGAGACCAATAGATGCCTCAATTCTTCCGTGTCTCCGTCTAAATCCTTGGGTCACTGTGACTCCTGTAGTTATGTGGCTTGTAATTCCTTGGGCCGTAGAATGGCTATGATAGGCCCTGTGCTAAGGGGACTGGTGACAGTTGAGACAGGAACATGGAAGCTATAGTAGTCAGGGTTCTCCAGAAAAAAAAATAATCAACACTAATAATGATAGATATATAGATAATGATTGATAGACAAATAATGATAGATATATAATGATATCACAAATAATGATAGACATATAGTTGGATAATGACAGATATATAATGATTGATACACAGATAGGGTATTTATATATTGGCTTATGCAACTATGTAGACTGACAGGTCCCATGATCTGCCATCTGCAAGCTGGAGACCCAGGGGAGTCCACGTGTAGTTCCAGTCTACGTGCAAAAGTCTGAGAACCAGTAGAGTTAGTGGTATACGTAACAGTCCAAAAGCTAGCAGGCTCATGCCGGGCATGATGGCTCACGCCTGTAATCCCAACACTTTGGGAGACCAAGGCAGGCAGATCACCTGAGGTCAGAGTTCAAGACCAGCCCGGCCAACATGGTGAAACCCCATCTTTACTAAAAATACAAAAATTAGCCGGGCATAGTGGCATTCGCTTGTAATCCCAGCTACTCAGAGGCTGAGGTACGAGAATTGCTTGAACCCAAGAGGTGAAGGTTGCAGTGAGCCGAGATCATGCCACAGCACTCCAGCCTGGGTGACAGAGTGAGACTCTATCTCAAAAAAACAAACAAACAAAAAAAGCTGGCAGGCTTAACATCTAAAGAGTCAATGTTTTAGTGAGAGTTCAAGAGCCAGAAAAGACTGATGTCCAGGCAAAAGGAACTTCATCTTACATTACCAGTTCAATGTTTTGTTCTATTCAGGTCCCACCTGATTGAATGAGGCCGACTCACATTAGGGAGAGCAATCTGCTTTATAAATTACACTAATTCCATTGATAATCTCATTCAGCAACACCCCCACAGACACACACAGAATAATGTTTAACCAAATATCTCAGCACCCCATGGCTACGTTACCATTCCTGTTCCACAAAAGGAGGAAACAAAAGAACAAAACCACACCAAATGTTGTGGTAAGTTGACAAAATCTGTTCCAGCCCATTAGTAAATATTGGCCACTGAAGTTCCTGAAATTCAACAATTAGTAAGTATCTCTCTCCCAATAGAAAGCCACGTCATTTGTAAACCATAACAATAGCTTTTGTTTTTTTGAGACACAGTCTCGCTCTGTGTTGCCCAGGCTGGAGTGCAGTGATCTTGGCTCACTGCAACCTCTGCCTCCTGGGTTCAAGTGGCTCTCCTGCCTCAGCCTTCCGAGTAGCTGGAATTACAGGCACCCGCCACCACACCCAAGTAATTTTTTATATTTTTAGTAGAGACTGGGTTTCACCACATTGACCAGGCTGGTCTTAAATTCCTGAACTCAAGTGATTCACCTGCCTTGGCCTCCCAAAGTGCTGGGATTACAGGCATGAGCTACTGCACCCAGCCAACAATAGTATTTTTAATTAGGTCATCCTGCCTTTACAATCTCTGCATTTTAAATACTCAACTAAGAGTACAGCCATTATTTGTCTTTCACCCAAAGTCCCATTCAAGTGAGAACAAAGGAATGAATAAATAAGGCATAAGTAACAAAACAACAAAAAAAGAAAATTAGAATGCGGTCAATTTCATGCAATCATCAACACCAAATTTCCAGAACGTAGTATTTCCAAATTTCCCGAACGTAAATATGTATGTGGAAATTAACAAAATGTGGCAAAACAAAAGGTCACTTAAATTTGCACAAATGAAACAGTCAACATGGAAGCTGATCGGCTTTCTGAAATATGGGACAAGCTCAGGACTTCAAAATACTTCGGCGTTGGAAGGGCTAAGTTATGATGTATTAAAATGAAAATAAAGTGGGGCGCGGTGGCTCACGCCTGTAATCCCAGCACTTTGGGGGACCGAAGTGGGTGGATCACGAGGTCAGGAGATCGAGACCATCCTGGCTAACACGGTGAAACCCCGTTTCTACTGAAAATACAAAAAAAATTAGCCGGGCGTGGTGGCGGATGCCTGTAGTCCCAGCTACTCGGGAGGCTGAGGCAGGAGAATAGCATGAACCCAGGAAGTGGAGCTTGCAGTGAGCTGAGATCACGCCACTGCACTCCAGCCTGGGCGACAGAGCAAGACTCCGTCTCAAAAAAAAAAAAAGAATAAATAAAATAAAATAAAATAGTAGAAGGTTTAATTAGGAATATTTCACTCTCCATACCTGAAGAATTCGTGATAGCCAGGAGTCTACAATCAAAATAACATAAATAATAAGATAAAAATAAAATTAATTTGAAGCCATAAAAAAAGAATGAGTTCATATGTTTTGTGGAAACATGGATGGAGCTGGAGGCCATTATCCTTAGCAAACTATACAAGAACAGAACACCAAATACAGCAGGTTCTCACTTATAAGTGGAAGCTAAATAATAGAACTCATGAACACAAAAAAGGGAAAAACAGACAATGGGGTCTCCTTTAGGGTGGAGGGTGGGAGGCGGGAAAGGAGCAGGCAAAGTAACTATTAGGTACCAAGCTTATTACCTAGGTGATGAAATAATCTGTACAACAAACCCCCATGACACAAGTTTACCTGTATAACAAACCTTCCCATGTACCCTTGAACCTAAAATAAAAGTTAAAAAAATACTCAATGAGCAACAATGTACATTATTTGAGGATAATTATATTAAAAGCCCAGACTTCACCACTACACAAAATATCCACGTAATAAAATTTCACTTGCGCTCCTTAAATTTATACAAATAAACAAAAAAGTATAATAAAATAGTAGATTCTTTCTTTAGAGATGACAAATAGTGCCAGAGAAAATGCCTCCACACTCTGGCATTGAGATCATCTCCAGGATAAGGGTATACTGCATGCCTGGTCAAGTCCAAGTAAATATACTCAGACCATGAATCTCAGAGATGAAACATAGGTTCAGAACAGACAAAGCCACAGAGCTTTTGACTAATGGCCCAGTGAAGGCAATGTCTGCCTGTATGGTATCCACCACCTTATATTCTGTCCCAAGCCCGTCTATTTGGATGTAGCATCTGGTTCAAAGATGAATTTGAACACCATTAGACACTGGCTTAATGAAAATTCACTTCTCATTCGTTTCTCATCTGAAACATAAATAGAAATATAGGTCTTAGGCAGGAGGATTTCTTGATGCCAGAAGTTAGAGACTACCCTGGCCAACATAGAAAGACCCCATCTCTATTTAAAAAAATATACATATATATGTCTTCTCTTGGGCTCCACCCAAGAGCAACCTGGAACTAAGTTATTCGGCAACGAACTGTTCCACTTTGTTGTGAGGCAATAGATGTGGAAATTCCCTGACGAGGGGCTCTGTCCTCATACTTCCTGCGGAGCTTATTGTCGTAAGAATATCTGTCATCCTGCTAATGTGCATTGAAAGGAGAGCAACGGGGCTGAGGCCGTGTCAGCACGATGGACCCCAAACAGACCACCCTCCTGTGTCTTGGTGAGTTTCAGAGTAAAAGTGGGTTAGAGGGGAAGATAGAGAAATCCCAAAATAATCAGGGTGTCTCTTAACAGTGTGACTAGGAGATTTTAGTGGCTGCCAAGGAGATTCTGATCTCCTTAGTGGAAAGGCCGTCTTTGTCAATGTATCTATAACTTTGTCTCTACCCAAGCCCAAGCTAGCTTGTGGGGCTCAAGGTTTAATATTTGTATTAAACCTATAGTGTGTTATCTGGGATTCATGATGGTCCCAAGGTTCTTATCAAGGAGAGACTTAGAGGCTGGAATCTGAAAGGTAAAAATAAAGAATGAACCTCAAAACTGTGATTGTTGTGGAAGGAAAACATATGATAGAACCCCATATAGAAATATGGTTACTAGTATTTTGTTGAAGATTTTTGCATTTATGTTCAACAAAGATATTATCCAGAAGTTTTCTGTTTTTGTTGTATCTCTGCCACATTTTGTTATCAGGATAATGTTGGCCTCATAGAATGAGTTGGGGAGGAGTCCCTCCTCCAGGATTTTTTTCAATAGTTTCAGTAGGAATAATACTAGCTCTTCTTGGCCGGGCGCAGTGGCTCACACCTGCAATCCCAGCACTTTGGGAGGCCAAGGCAGGCGGATCACAAGGTCAGGAGATCAAAACCATCCTGGCCAACATGGTGAAACCCTGTCTCTACTAAAAATACAAAAAAATTAGCCAGGCGTGGTGGCGGGCGCCTGTAGTCCCAGCTACTCGTGCGGCTGAGGCAGGAGAATGGCATGAACCTGGGAGGCAGAGCTTGCAGTGAGCCAAGATCATGCCACTGCACTCCAGCTTGGGCGACACAGCGAGACTCTGTCTCAAAAAAAAAAAAAAATGCCAGCTCTTCTTTATATATCTGGTGGGATTGAGCTGTGAATCCATCTGGTACTGGTCTTTTTCTGGTCTGTCATTACAGAGGGTGATTTGTCGTAAAGGTTGGAAATGGAAGCTTGATTTTTCATAAATCTCTCTCTTCCAGTGCTCTGTCTGGGCCAGAGGATTCAGGCACAGGAAGGTAAGTGTCCTGTAAATCTCTCCCAGCCCCTTTAGACCCTCTTGGGAGCTCTAGGATAAAGAAATTGAAGAATAGCCTGAAGCACCATTCTTATTTTAATCCCCATTCTAGTTGTTTCTGCTGTGCTTCTCTTGCATAATTTCTATCTCACTTTGTTATCTCCAAACCCTTCAGACTCATTAATGCTCAGGCCTGGATTTATAGTTAGTCCTTGCCTGTGTTAGACTGTCCATGAAGGATCTGTAATTTACTGAATGCTCAAACTGCAAGAATGAGGAAGTCAGGAGTCATCTGCCCAATATCCTTCCTTATGCTGATTCTATTTTGTTTTAGCAACCCACTTCCTCCCGTCACTTCATTTAAAAGGATGCTGCCATAGTCTAACCCTACTGAACACTCTAGCATTCTGTAGTACTACTGCAGTACTAAGCATGAGGCAGTCTTAGTGTACTACTGAATATTCTGCCACCCCAACTACTACTGCCTTAGCCTCCTAATGGGTGTGAGCCCCACGTCCATCCATGTCTTCTCTCTTCCAGCTCCTTCTAAAGCCTGAATTATTTGTGTGTTGAACAATACTCATTCTTCCTATCCATGAGCATGGAATGTTTTTCCATTTGTTTGTGTCATCTATGATTTCTTTGACCAGTGTTTTGTAGTTCTCCTTGCAGAGATCTTTCACCTCCCTGGTTAGCTGTATTCCCAGGTATTTTATTCTTTTTGCAGTAATTGTGAATGGATTCTATTCTTGATTTGGCTCTCAGCTTAGATGTTTTTGGTGTATAGGAATGCTACTGATTTTTATATATTGATTTTGTATCCTGGAACTTTGCTAAAGTTGTTTATCAGATTAAGAAGTGTTTGGGCAGAGACTGTGGTTTTCTAGGTATAGAATCATATCACCTGCAAACAGGGATAGTTTGACTTCCTTTCTTCCTATTTGGATGCCTTTTATTTCTCTCTTGCCTGATTGCTCTAGCTAGGACCTCCAGTACTATGTTGAACAGAAGTAGTGAGAGACGGCATCCATGTCTTTTGCCAGTTTTCAAGGGGAATACTTCCAGCTTTTGCCCATTCAATATGATGTTGACTGTGAGTTTGTCATACATCATTCTTATTATTTTGAAATATGTTTCTTCAATGCCTAGTTTGTCGAGGTTTTTTAGCATAAAGGGATGTTGAATTTTATCAAAAGCTCTATTGAGAGGATTATGTGTGTGGGGAGGGTTGTTCTATTTATGTGATGAATCATATTTAAGATTTGTGTATATTGGCCGGGCACTGTGGCTCATGCCTGTAATCCCAGCACTTTGGGAAGCCAAGGCTTGTGGATCATGAGGTCAGGAGATCGACACCATCCTGGCTAACACGGTGAAACCTCGTCTATACTAAAAAACACAAAAAAATTAGCCAGGCGTGGTGGTGGGCACCTGTAGTCCCAGCTGCTCGGGAGGCTCAGGCAGGAGAATGGCGTGAATCCAGGAGGCGGAGCTTGCAGTGAGCCAAGTTCACGCCACTACACTCCAGCCTGGGCAACAGAGCGAGACTCCTATATCGAATCAACCTTGCATCCCAGAAATAAAGCCTACCTGATGGTGGTGGATTAGCTTTCTGATGTGCTGCTGGATAGTTTGCTAGTATTTTGTTGAGGATTTTTGCATTTATGTTCAACAAGGATATTGTCCTGAAGTTTTCTGGTTTTGTTGTGTCTCTGCCATGTTTTTGCATCAAGATGATGCTGGTCTCATAGAATGAGCTGGGGAGGCATTCCTCCTCCTGAATATTTTTGGAACGTTTCAGTAGGTATAGTACCAGCTCTTCTTTATATATCAGATGGGATTCAGCTGTGAGTCTGTCTGGTACTGGGCTTTTTCTGGTCTGTAGGATTTTTATTACTGATTCAATTTTGGAGCTCATTATTGGTCTGTTCATGTATTCAATTTATTCTTGGTTTGATCTCAGGAGGGTGTATGTGTCCAGGAATTTCTCCATTTATTCTGGATTTTCTAGTTTGTGTGCATAGAGGTGTTCATAATATTCTCTGATGATTGTATTTCTGTGGGGTGAGTGGTAATATACCCTTTGTTGTTTCTAATTGTGTTTATCCGGATCATCTCTCTTTTCTTCTTTATTAGTCTAACTAGTCATCTGTCTTACTAATTTTTTCAAAAATTCTACTCCTCGATTTGCTGATCTTCTGAATGCTTTTTCGTGTCTCAATCTCCTTCAGCTCAGCTCTGATTTTGGTTATTTCTTGTTTCCTATGAGCTTTGGGGTTGATTTCCTCTTGGTTCTCTTAGTTCCTCTTGTTATGATGTTAGGTTGTTAATTTGAACTTTTTCTAGCTTTTTGAAGTGGGAGTTTAGTGCTATAAACTTCCCCCTTAACACTGCCTTAGCTGTGTCCCAGAGATTCTGCTATATTTACCCAAAAATTCCAGAACAGACTGCTTAATTTCCATGCATTGTACAGTTTTGAGTGGTTTTCTTAGTATTTATTCCTATTTTTATTCCACTGTGCTCTGATTTCGCTTTTCTGGATTTGCTAAGGATTGTTTTTTTTTTTTTTGAAATGGAGTCTTGCTCTGTCGCCCAGGCTGGAGTGCAGTGGCGCAATCTAGGCTCACTGCAAGCTCCGCCTCCCAGGTTCACACCATTCTCCTGCCTCAGCCTCCTGAGTAGCTGAGACTACAGGTGCCCGCCACCCCGCCCGGCTAATTTTTTTTGTATTTTTAGTAAAGACGGGGTTTCACTGCGTTAGCCAGGATGGTCTCGATCTCCTGACCTCATGATCCGCCAGCCTTGGCTTCCCAAAGTGCTGGGATTACAGGTGTGAGCCACCGTGCCCAGCCTGCTAAGGATTGCTGTATGTCTGATTGTATGATTGACTTTAGAGTATGTGCCATGAGGCAATGAAAACAATGTAGATTCTGTTGTTTTGGGGGTGGAGAGTTCTGTAGATGTCTGTCAGGTCCATTTGATCCACTGCTGAGTTCAGGTCCTGAATATCTCTGTTTGCCTCAATGATCTAATACTGTCGGCGGGATGTTAAAGTCTCCCCCTATTATTGTGTGGTTGTCTAAGTCTCTTCGTTGGTCTCTCAGAACACGCTTTATGAATCCGGGTGCTTCCATGTTAGGTGCATATATATTTAGGATAGTTAGGTCTTCATGCTCTTTTTTTAATTTTTTTTTTCTTTTTCTTTTTGATTCAGCAGTTGGGCTATTACACACTCCTTAGCAGATTCCGACTTCCGTGGCCACTGTCCTGCTATGGTCTTCATGTTGAATTGAACCCTTTACCATGATTTAATGCCCTTCTTTGCCTTTTTTGATCTTTGTTGGTATAAAGTCTGTTTTGTCTGAAATTTTAATAGCAGCTCCTGCATTTTTTTTTTTTTTTGGCTTTCCATTTGCTTGGTAGATTTTTCTCCATTTCTTTACTTTGAGCCTATGGATGTCATTGCATATGAGATGGGTTTCTTATAGGCAGCATAATGTTGAGTCTTGCTTTTTTTTTTTTTTTTTTTTTTGAGATGGAGTCTCACTCTGTCACCCAGGCTGGAGTGCAGTGGTATGATCTTGACTCACTGCAACTTCTGCCTCCCAGGTTCAAATGATTCTCCTGCCTCAGCCTCCCAAATAGCTGGGATTACAGGTGTGTACCACCACGCCCAGCTATTTTTTTTTTTTATTAGAGATGGGATTTCATCACATTGGCCAGGCTAATGTCGAACTCCTGACCTCAAATGATCCACCCACCTCAGCCTCCCAAAGTGCCAGGGTTACAGGCGTGAGCCACTGCACCTGGCCTCTTGCTTCTTTATCCAACTTGCCACTCTCTGCATTTTAATTAGGACAATTAGTCCATTTACATTCAAAGTTAGCATTTACATGTGCAGATTTTTTCCTGTCATCATGTTGTTAGCTGGTTTGGTTATTATGCAGACTTGTTTGTGTGGTTGTTTTATAGTGTCACTGGTTTATGTACGTAAGTGTGTTTTCTATTGGCTGGTGATGGTCTTTTCTTTCCATATTTAGCGTTCCTCTTAGGACCTCTTGTAAGGCAGGCCTGATGGTAATAAATTCCCTCAGCATTTGCTTGTCTGTAAAGGATCTTATTTCTCCTTCACTTATGAAACTTAGTTTGGCTGGGAATGAGATTCTTGGTTGGAAATTCTTTTCATAAGAACATTAAATATAGGCCCCCAATCTCTTCTGGATTGTAGAGTTTCTGCTGAAAGGTCTGCTGTTAGCTCGATGGCATTCCCTTTGTAGGTGACCTGCCCCTTCTTTTTTGCTGCCTTTTCACATTTTTTTTTTTTTTTTTGAGACTGAGTCTTGCTCTGTTGCCCAGGCTGCCAGGCTGGAGTGCAATGGCGTGATCTCGGCTCACTGCAAGCTCCGCCTCCCGGATTCACGCCATTCTCCTGCCTCAGCCTCCCCAGTAGCTGGGACTACAGGTGCCCACCACCACGCCCAGCTAATTTTTTATATTTTTTTAGTAGAGATGGGGTTTCACCATGTTAGCCAGGATGGTCTCAATCTCCTGACCTCGTGATCCGCCCGCCTTGGTCTCCCAAAGTGCTGGGATTACAGGCGTGAGCCACCGCGCCCGGCCGACATTTCTTTCTTTCATTTCTACCTTGAAGAATCTGATGATTTTGTGTCTTGGGGATGCTCTTCTTGTGTAGTATTTTGCAGGGGTTCTCTGTTTCCTGCATTTGATTCTTGGCCTCTCTAGTGACGTTGGGGAAGTTTTCATGAACAATACACTGAAATATGTTTTCCATGTTCCTTGCTTTCTCCCCATCTCTTTCGGGGATGCCAATGGGCTATTTGGTCTCTTTTCATGATCCCATATTTCTTAGAGGTTTTGTTCATTAATTTTTATTCTTTTTCTTCATTTTTGTCTGACTGAATTAGTTCAGAGAGCCAGTATTCATGCTCTGAGATTCTTTCCTTATTTTGCTTTATTTTGCCATTAATACTTGTGATCGCATTATGAAATCTCGTAGTGTGTTTTTCAGCTCCATCAGATCCGTTTGGTTCTTTCAAAATGACCATCTCATAGATTAGCCCCTCTGTCATTTTATTGTAATCTTTAGGTTCCTTGCATTGGGTTTCAACTTTCTCCTGAATCTTGATGACCTTAATTTCTATCCATATTCTGAATTCTATTTCTGTCATTTCAGCCAGGTAAAGAGCCCTTGCTGGGAAGCTTGTGTGGTAATTTGGAGGAAGGAAGACACTGTTGCTTTTTGAGTTGATGGAGTTCTTGCTCAGTTCTTTCTCATCCATGTGGGCTAATGTTCCTTTGAGTGTGCTGCAATTTGAATTTTTTTCTTTTTTCTTTTAACCGTGATGTAATTTGAGCACAGTCAGTAGACTTCTTTTCTGGATGGTTTCAGAGGGCTGGGGCTTCGCACAGGGTCTTTATTTATAGCTAAATTCTTGTCCTTGGTTTCACAGGGAGGTATATTAGCGAGCATTTTTGGTGTTGAAGTTTGGGCTGCAATCCGGTAAATGATGCTTCAGCACAACGGCCAGTAGGTCATTCCTCATGATTGCCGCTGTGCTCCCTCTCACGCTCTGAAAGTGCGGGCTCCTCTCCCACCCAAGTGCTGGCTGCAGATCTGGGCTCGGCACTCCCAGGCTGCACATCACAGCTCTGGGGTGAGCTCAGACTTTATGTTCCCTCCGTGGCTTGGGGGCAGCAGGGGAAGGGACCTTAGCAGCGGTTGTGGCAGACGGCCTTTCACTTGTCCCTTGGAACTCCACCCCAGAGAGATGTGGAGCCACTATCAGTGCGATGAGCCAAGAGTGAGGCGACTGCACTGTGGGTCCAAGCTAGGGGCCCTGCCTAGTGATGAGCAGGGGGGACAGGTGGGTCACAGGGGTGACAGACTGGCCTCTTCTCCTTAGGGCAGTTTGCCGGAGGTGTGGTTGAAGCACTCAGAGTCTTTGCTCCTTCCCCAGTCTGAGGGCAGCAAGGCCAGTACCACCGCAGTGGCAGCGGCAGAGTGACCTTCCGTTGCCTCTGGGAGCTCCGCCACAGAGAAACGCAGACTCACAGCTGCTGGGAACGCTCCGCCAGAGGGTGGGGCTGTTGTGCCGCGGAATCAAGCTGGGGCTTGTTGAAGAGCAGGGGGTTGAGGGCTCACAGGGAGAGGAGACTGAGCTCCTCTCCGTATGGCGACTGCGGTGTGCTGGAAGCATGAATGAAGGCCGGGCGCGGTGGACTCACGCCCGGAATCCCAGCACTTTGGGAGGCCGAGGCGGGCGGATCACGAGGTCGGGAGATCGAGACCATCCTGGCTAATCTGGTGAAACCCCGTCTCTACTGAAAACACAAAAAATGAGCCGGGCGTGGTGGCGGGCGCCTGTAGTCCCAGCTACTCGGGAGGAGGATGAGGCTGAGGCAGGAGAATGGTGTGAACCCGGGAGGCGCAGCTTGCAGTGAGCCGAGATCGGGCCACTGCACTGCAGCGTGGGCGACAGAGCGAGACTCCGTCTCAAATAAATAAATAAATAAATAAATAAATAAATAAATAAATAAATAAATAAATTGAAGCATGAATGAAGGCCCCAGGCTCCTTGCTTCTTCCCCAGATCACGGGCAGCAGAGGCAGAACCCTTGCCATGGCAGTGGCAGAGGGGCTGTCAGTTGCCTCTGGGAGCCACTCCCCAGGGAAACACGAGCCACCACCAGTGAGTGTGCTGAGGGCGGGGCAGCTGCTCTGCACTCCCGAGCTGGGG
The DNA here is from genome assembly GCF_000001405.40 of Homo sapiens. NCBI lineage: Eukaryota > Metazoa > Chordata > Mammalia > Primates > Hominidae > Homo > Homo sapiens. The sequence goes on from NW_016107304.1 coordinate 211,196, forward strand.
GCTCTGCCTGGTAAAGTGGGGGTGGGAGCTCACGGGGAAGAGAGACTGGACTCCTCTCTGTCTGATGGCTGTGGCATAATGACCGGGCCCCCACACATGAAAAAGAATTCTGGGAACTCAAAAAGCCAGTGTGTCCCCACCATGGACCCCTTGGATTGTGTTTCAAATTTCTCCTCAATTTCGAAGAGCGTCCTGGCCATCCAGATTCTGAATTCTATAACCCTCGTTTCATTCATCTCAATGTAGCTAAGAACCAGATTTCTGGGGAACTATCGAGTTGCCAGAGTTCTTGTGTTGATTCTTTTTTTTTTTTCTTTTTTTTTTCTTTTTTGTGGCAGAGTCTTACTCTGTCGCCCAGGCTGGAGTGCAGTGGCACGATCTCAGCTCACTGCTGCAACCTTCACCTCCCGGGTTCAAGCGATTCTCCTGTCTCAGCCTCCTGAGTAGCTGGGATTACAGGTGTGTGCCACCACGCCCGGCTAATTTTTGTATGTTTAGTAGAGCCCGGGTTTTGTCACGTTGGTCAGGCTGGTCTCAAACTCTTGACCTCCGGTGATCTGCCCACTTCAGCCTCCCAAAGTGCTGGGATTACAGGTGTGAGCCACCGCGCCCGGCCTTGGTGTTGATTCTTTCTCTTGTGTGAGGGCTGGTGTTCCTTTAACTGTGATGTCGGTTGAGTACAGTCGCTTGGCTTCATTTCTGGGTGTTTTCAGATGCCAGGACTCTGCACAGGATCTTTATTTGTGGCTGAATTTTTCCCTTCATTGTATACTGGCAAAATTTTTCAGTGTTGTATTTTGAAGTGTGATCCAGTAGGTGGCACTTAAAAGGGTTGGCCAGCATACAGGATCTTAGCCACAAGGCTCTTTTGTAGTTTTGTTTCGTTTTTTGTTTCGTTTTTTGACACAGGGTCTTGTTCTGTCGCCCAGGCTGGAGCACAGTGGCACAATCTCGGCTCACTGCAGCCTCTACCTATCAGGCTAAGTGATCCTCCTGCCTCAGCCTCCTGAGTAGCTGGGACTACAAGCACGCAGCACCATAAAGAGAAAATTTTTGTAATTTTTTTTTTTTTTTTGTAGAGATGGGGTTTCACCATGTTTACCAGGCTGGTCTCAAACTCCTGGGCTCAAGCAATCTGCCTGCCTTGGCCCCCTAACTCTTGTATTTTGACAAAGTCGGCAGTAGTGCTCTGTGGTTGTGAGGAGGGGTGACTCCCTCGCCTGGTCCATTCTTGGGCCTTGGAGGAGCCTCCTACAGTCACTGGCTCTGCACCCACTGTTTCCTTTGTTAGGATTGTTCTGCCCACGGGGCTCCCTCAGGCAGGGCATGGTGGGCAGACAGGCTGTATCCTTCCCCGGCCAGCCCTATGGAGGGAGGACCACCCCGCACCTCTGCAGGCTGATGAAATCAGGTGTTTCACCCCTCTGAACGTTCTGAGAATGAGGGCTCCTCACGGCTTGGTCGCCACCTAACGTGGTGAGTCCTTCTCAGCAAGGGTGATTGGAGCCACATGATCTGCCATCTCAGTGCTTCCCAGGGGAACACAGAGCTACTGGGCATGGTGGCTCACACGTGTAATCCCAGTACTTTAGGAGGCCGAGATGGGCAGATTGCGAAGTCAGGAGACTGAGACCATCCTGGATAACATGGTGAAACCCCGTCTCTACTAAAAATACAAAAAAAAATTAGCCAGGCGTGGTGGCGGGCGCCTGTAGTCCCAGCTACTCGGGAGGCTGAGGCAGAAGAATGGTGTGAACCCGGGAGGCGGAGCTTGCAGTGAGCCAAGATCACACCACTGCACTCCAGCCTGGGCAACAGAGTGAGACTTCATCTCAACAAAAAAAGAAAAGAAAAGAAAAACACAGAGCTGCACACCCCACAGAGTTCAGGCAGAAGGGGGTCTGCAGCGCTGGAAGACCCAGCAAGCCTGGCCCGTCTGGCTGCAAGTGGCAGGGGTGGGTGGAGTCACCCACTTCACCATCTGGGTGCTTTCCAGGGAAGCATGCAGCCACGACCCCGGGCAGAGTTCAGGCAGAAGCTGGGCCACTATGCTGGAAACTGGCCTTGAGCCTTGTGGAGTAACGGCAGGTGGAGCCATCTCACTGCTCCCACGCACCATGCCCGTGGCCTCTGCGGGGGCTGTGGTAACGGCACCCGACTGCTCTGGGGTCAATGCCTGCGGAGGTCCCCCTGGCTTCAGTGTTGCCTCTGCAAAAACCCCAGTTGCAGCCAGGTGCGGTGGCTCACGCTTGTAATCCCAGCACTTTGGGAGGCCGAGGCAGGTGGATCACTTGAAGTCAGGAGTTCAAGACCAGCCTGGCCAACATGGTGAAACCCCGTTTCTACTAAAAATACAAAAATTATCCAGGCATGGTGGTGGGCACCTGTAATCCCAGCTACTCGGAAGGCTGAGGCAGCAGAATTGCTTGAACCCGGGAGGCGGAGGAGCTGAGATTGCACCACTGCACTGCAGCCTGGGCGACAAAACAAGACTCTGTCTCGAAAAATAATAACAATAAAAAATAAAGATGGCAACCATAGACACTGGAGACTACTAGATGGGGGGGAAGAAAGGGGGTTGAAAAACTGCCTATTGGGTACTATGCTCAGTACCTGGGTGACAGGATCAATCGTACTCCAAACCTCAGCATCACAAATTATTTAAATTTTTCTCTTTTTTTAATTTTTTTGTTGTTGTTGTTGAGACGAAGTCTCACTCTGTTGCCCAGGCTGGAGTGCAGTGGTGTGATCTCGGCTCACTGCAAGCTCTGCCTCCCAGGTTCACGCCATTCTCCTGCCCCAATCTCCCGAGTAGCTGGGACTACACGCGCCCGCCACCACGTCCTGCTAATTTTTTGTATTTTCAGTAGACACGGGGTTTCACCGTGTTAGCCAGGATGGTCTTGATATCGTCACCTTGTGATCCACCCGCCTCGGCCTCCCAAAGTGCTGGGAATACAGGCGTGAGCTACCGCACCCGGCCTAAATTTTTTTTTAAATAAAGAATGGTAGGTTCTTCACACCCTAATGTATTTTTACTTCTCCCACAGAGAAGGAAAGGAATGGCTTCCCCATGGCAAGCCACCTCAGTCTGGGCTTTCTTTTCTTCCAGGGGACTTTCCCATGCCTTTCATATCTGCCAAATCGAGTCCTGTGATTCCCTTGGATGGATCTGTGAAAATCCAGTGCCAGGCCATTCGTGAAGCTTACCTGACCCAGCTGATGATCATAAAAAACTCCACGTACCGAGAGATAGGCAGAAGACTGAAGTTTTGGAATGAGACTGATCCTGAGTTCGTCATTGACCACATGGACGCAAACAAGGCAGGGCGCTATCAGTGCCAATATAGGATAGGGCACTACAGGTTCCGGTACAGTGACACCCTGGAGCTGGTAGTGACAGGTAAGGAAACATCCAGGGTCCACAGCCCTGGTGTGATTTTTTTCTTATTTTTAATAGAGTATTTTTCAAGAAGTTTTAGATTTACAAACAAAAAAAAATTGATGATTGCTTCAGAGAGTTCTCAGCCATCTGGCACCCCACTTCCCCCAGAGTTAACATCTTACATTAGTATGGCACATTTCTTACCATTAATGAACAAATATCGACACATTCCCAGCTACAGTCTACAGTTTATTTACATTTTCTTAGTTTTTACCTGATAGTCTTTCTCTGTTCCAGGATCCCATTCAAGATTTCACATTGCGGCTGGGAGTGGTGGCTCACGCCTGTAATCCCAACACTTAGGGAAGCCGAGGCGGGTGGATCACCCAAGGTCAGGAGTTCGAGACCAGCCTGGCCAACATGGTGAATTCCCCGTCTCTACTGAAAATGCAACAATCGCTGGGCGCGGTGGCTCACGCCTGTAATCCCAACACTTTGGGTGGCTGAGGTGGGTGGATCACCTGAGGTCAGGAGTTCGAGACCAGCCTGGCCAACACAGTGAAACCTCGTCTCTACTAAAAATGGAAAAAATTGGCCAGGCCTGGTGGCACACGCCTGTAATCCCAGCTACTTGGGAGGCTGAGGCAGGAGAATCGCTTGAACCCAGGAGGCAGAGGTTGCAGTGAGCCAAGATCACACCACTGCACTCCAGGCTGGGCGACAGGGCGAGACTCCATCTCACACACACACACACAAAAAGATTTCACATTGCATTCAGGTGTCATGTATCTTTATTTTTTTTTTTTTTTTTTTTTTTGAGATGGAGTCCCGCTGTGTTGCCCAGGCTGGAGTGCAGTGGCACAATCTCGGCTCACTGCAAGCTCCAACCTCCCGGGTTCACGCCATTCTCCTGCCTCAGCCTCCCGAGTAGCTGGGACTACAGGCGCCCGCCACCACGCCTGGCTAATTTTTTGTATTTTTAGTAGAGATAGGGTTTCACTGTGTTAGCCAGGATGGTCTCAATCTTCTGACCTCGTGATCCGCCCGCCTGGCCTCCCAAAGTGCTGGGATTACTGGCGTGAGCCACCACGCCCGGCCCCCGAAAATGCTGGGATTACAGGCATGAGCCACCGCACCTGGCCTCCCAAAGTGCTGGGATTCCAGGCGTGAGCCACCGTGCCCGGCAGGTGTCATGTATCTTTAGGTTTGTCTTGGCTGTCACAGCTTCTCAGATGTTGCTGGTTTTCCATGACCTTGTCAGTTTTGAGGGTAGTGGTCCATTATTTTCAAGGGTACTCCCACTACTGGAAATTGTCCGATGTTTTGCTCATGACTAGACTGAGTTATGGGTCATTGCAGGCAAGACCACAGAAGCAAAGTGCCATTTCATCTCCTCATAGCAAAGGTTTAAACTGTCCATGGGAACATGACTGTGGATGTTGAGCTGGCTGTTGTTGAAAGCCTGGCTGAAGTAGTAACTGTGGCCAGACACCGTGGCTCGTGCCTGTAATCCCAGCACTTTGGGAGGCTGGGCGCCGTGGCTCACGCCTGTAATCCCAGCACTTTGAGAAGCCGAGATGGGCAGATCACTTAAGCCCAGGAGACCAGCCTGGGCAACATAGTAAGACCCCATCTGTACAAAAAATCAAAAAATTAGCTGGGCATGGTGGCACCCACCTGTAGTCTCAGTTACTTGAGAGGCTGAGATGGTAGGATCACCTGAGCCTGGGAGGTCGAGGCTGCAGTGAGCCGTGATTATGCCACTGCCCTCAGCCTGGGCGACAGAGTGAGACCCTCTCTAAAATAAATAAATTCTAAAAAAGAAAAAAGAGGCTGGGCACTGTGGTTCACGCCTGTAATCCCAGCACTTTGGGAGGCTGAGGCAGGTGGATCACCTGAGGTCAGGGATTCAAGACCAGCCTGACCAACATGGAGAAACCTCATCTTTACTAAAAATACAAAAATTAGCTGGGCGTGGTGGCGGGTGCCTGTAATCCCAGCTACTCGGGAGGCTGAGGCAGGAGACTCACTTGAACCTCGGAGGTGGAGGTTGCAGTGAGCTGAGATCGTGCCACTGCACTGCAGCCTCAGTGACAGAGTGAGACTCCATCTCAAAAAACAATAATAGGCTGGGCACAGTTGCTCATGCCTGTAATCCCAGCACTTTGGGAGGCCAAGGTGGGCAAATCACCTGAGGTCAGGAGTTCGAGACCAGCCTGACCAACATGGAGAGACCCCGTCTCTACTAAAAATACAAAAATTAGCTGGGCGTGGTGGTACGCACCTGTAATCCCAGTTTCTCGGGAGGCTGAGGCAGGAGAATTGCTTGAACCCGGGAGACGGAGGTTGCAGTGAGCTGAGATCACGCCACTGCACTCCAGCTTGGGCAATAAGAGCGAAACTCCATCTCAAAAAAATATATAATAATAACAATAATAAGAAGAAGAAAAGAATAAAGGAGAAAAGGTCTTTCTAATAGCTCACTCTTTTCTCTCTTAGGCTTGTATGGCAAACCCTTCCTCTCTGCAGATCGGGGTCTGGTGTTGATGCCAGGAGAGAATATTTCCCTCACGTGCAGCTCAGCACACATCCCATTTGATAGATTTTCACTGGCCAAGGAGGGAGAACTTTCTCTGCCACAGCACCAAAGTGGGGAACACCCGGCCAACTTCTCTTTGGGTCCTGTGGACCTCAATGTCTCAGGGATCTACAGGTGCTACGGTTGGTACAACAGGAGCCCCTACCTGTGGTCCTTCCCCAGTAATGCCTTGGAGCTTGTGGTCACAGGTAGGTACCGCCCAGTCCAGCCCTGTGTCTGGGTTGGCTGTCCAGGGCCTTGCCACCGGGCAGGAATATGAAGACGTGCACTGAGAGTGAAGTGAAGAGAGGCAAAGGCTCTCACTCCAGGACAGTGGAGAGAGAAAGGCTTCCCCACCACACTTTCCGCTTTCACTTCCTCGCTAGAGTTCTCCAGACAGGGTTCATTGAAAACTTAGTCTGTGGAGAACAGAAGGGCTAACTCAGTTTGTTTCATTTTATTTATTTCATTTTATTTTCCGGGATAGAGTCTTGCTCTTTCGCCAAGGCTGGAGTGCAGTGGCACGATCTCGACTCACTGCAACCTTCGCCTCCCAGGTTCAAGCAATTCTCCTGCCTCAGCCTCCTGAGTAGCTGGGACCACACAGACAGGGTTTCACCATGTTGGCCAGGCTGGTCTCGAACTCCCGACCTCAGGTGATCCACCTGCCTCGGCCTCCCAAAGTGCTGGGATTACAGGCGTGAGCCACCGCGCCTGGCCAGGCTGCACACATTCTTATTAGGATTCCACCTTGTTCTGGTGTTGTAGAGATGTGATTAGGTATTTAGTGAATTCACCAAGTGAGGAGAGAATGAAAAGAAAACACAACCTGCCTGGCCGGGCGTGGTGGCGTGAGCCTGTCGTCCCAGCTACTCAGGAGGCTGAGGCAGGAGAATCACTTGAACCCAGGAGGCAGCTGTTGCAGTGAGCCAAGATCACGCCATTGCACTCCAGCCTGGGTGACAGAACGAGACTCCACCTCAAGAAAAAAAAAAAAAACATGGTTGGGCACGATGGCTCACGCCTGTAATCTGAGCACATTGGGAGGCTGAGGCAGGTGGATCACCTGAGGTCGGGAGTTCGAGACCAGCCTGGCCAACATAGTGAAACCCCATCTCCACTAAAAATACAAAAATTAACCAGGCGTGGTGGTGGTGGGCGCCTGTAATCCCAGCTACTTGGGAGGCTGAGGCAGGAGAATCACTTGACCAGGGAGGCGGAGGTTGCAGTGAGCCGAGATCACGCCACTGCACTCCAGCCTGGGCAACAGAGTGAGACTCCATCTCAAAAAAAAAAAAAAAAAAAAACACACACAACCTGCCCATAATCACCTCCTTCCCAGTTTATAGCACTTCCCTGGGAAGCACAGTTCCTTGCCCGTGAACACAGTCTTGCTGACTGATCAGTGTGGTGCTGGCGAAGCATGAGCTCATTGAGGGGATGCTTGAGGGAGTCCCATTTTGGCAAGCGAAAAGGAAAATGAGCTCCCGTTTCAGGGCTCTGGGGTTGGGATGGAATGGAACACAACCACCAACCATTCATCTCCTTGAATTGTGTCTCCAGACTCCATCCACCAAGATTACACGACGCAGAACTTGATCCGCATGGCCGTGGCAGGACTGGTCCTCGTGGCTCTCTTGGCCATACTGGTTGAAAATTGGCACAGCCATACGGCACTGAACAAGGAAGCCTCGGCAGATGTGGCTGAACCGAGCTGGAGCCAACAGATGTGTCAGCCAGGATTGACCTTTGCACGAACACCAAGTGTCTGCAAGTAAACACCTGGAGGTGAAGGCAGAGAGGAGCCAGGACTGTGGAGTCCGACAAAGCTACTTGAAGGACACAAGAGAGAAAAGCTCACTAAGAAGCTTGAATCTACTTTTTTTTTTTTTTGAGACAGAGTCTGGCTCTGTCACCCAGGCTGGAGTGCAGTGGAGCAATCTCGGCTCATTGAACCTCTTGGGTTCAAGTGATTCTTGTGCCTCAGCCTCCCAAGTAGCTGGAATTACAGGCACATACCACTGCACCCAGCTAATTTTTGTATTTTTAGTAGAGATGGGGTTTCACTGTGTTGGCCAGGCTGGTCTCGAACTCCTGACCTCAGGTGATCCACCCACCTTGGCCTCCCAAAGTGCTGAGATTATAGGCATGAGCCACCACGCCTGGCCAGATGCATGTTCAAACCAATCAAATGGTGTTTTCTTATGCAGGACTGATCGATTTGCACCCACCTTTCTGCACATAAGTTATGGTTTTCCATCTTATCTGTCTTCTGATTTTTTATATCCTGTTTAATTTCTTCCTTCATTGTTCTTCTCTTTTTTTATTTATTTTATTTATTTTTATTTTTATTTTTATTTGAGACAGAGTCTCACTCTGTTGCCCAGGCTGGAGTGCAGTGGCACGATCTCGGCTCACTGCAACCTCTGCCTCCTGGGTTCAAGTGATTCTCCTGCCTCGGCCTCCCAAGTAGCTGGGATTGCAGGCTCCCACCATCACGCCCAGCTACTTTTACAGTATTTTTAGTAGAGACGGGGTTTCATCACATTGGCCAAGCTGGTCTCAAACTTCTGACCTCGTGATCTGCCCGCCTCGGCCTCCCAAAGTGCTGGGATTACAGATGTGAGCCACTGCGCCCAGCCTTCTTTTTATATTTTTAAATGTGTCTTCCCCAAATATAAATGGTTGGTAAGCATGCCAAATATATTCAATAACCCCCCTCCTTTATTTTTTTTTGTTGAAGTGAGGCTCTCCCTATGTTGCCTAAGCTGGTCTTGAACTCCTGGTCTCAAGCAATCCTCCTACCTCAGCCTCCTGCTGTGTTCATCTACAAATTGATAAGAGTGAAAGTCATAATCCTACAGGAGGATTACCCTATTTATTTCACAAACCCTATTTCTACCGGATTTTCATACAAGGAATACAGGCATGTGTTTCACCTCATTAATTTATTTTTTCACTTAGTTTTGATGATATTCACATATATTATCAAGTGTGCAAACATTAAATTCTTGTGTACAAAACTCAAATGGTCTTCCAAATAATTCCCCATTCTTTTTTCTTATAAACTTTCACAGCTTTACCCTTGACAGACTTTACTCAAGGAAATCTAAGTTGGTCATATGTGGCTCTTTCACTGATTGCTATTTACTTCATTGTCCAGTAGCTTATGTATGAAAATATAATTATAAAATGTAAGGGTCCTACTTCCAGTGAAACTGAAGGGACTTAGGCCCACTTTTATCCTTTACTGAGAGCTTATCTCTACTTGATAAAATTTCTACTGTATTCTTGGCTTAACTCAGGTCCTGTGATTAAAAAAAAAATGCAAAGTATTTCTAACTTTCTTTATTGACTGCTTTTCACACTTTATACAAGTTCTGGCCCATATCTTCAGTTTGTTCTGATTTTTTTCACCAGGTGTGGTGGCAGGTGCCTGTAGTCCCAGCTACTCCAGGGGCTGAGGCAGGAGAATGGCGTGAACCTGGGAGGCGGGGCTTGCAATGAGCTGAGATCACGCCACTACACTCCAGCCTGGGCCACAGAGCGAGACTCCGTCTCAAAAGTAAACAAACAAATAAATAATAAATAAATAAATAAAGGGAAAGTGCCACAATTTTGGATGAAGGGGGTTGAGGGACTTTACGTCAGGTCCAGGACTTGGATTACAGAGACACAATGGGGCTAGATTCCCAGAGATGGATAAGATTAAACTCATATAAGTCGTTTTGCTGACAGAAGGACCTTGTTTGGAAAAAGCGTTTTCAGAATAATAAAGTTCCTGAGCTCTTCAGAAAAGTATTTTATTGTCCTGTAACCACAGTAACAAGTAGCCACCAAAACTGATTTTTAACCCATCATCAATGACAACTCATCTCTGTGAAGATGCTCTTTTTTTTTTTTTTTTTTTTTGAGACGGGGTCTTGCTCTGTCACCCAGGCTGGGGAGCAGTGACGTGACCTCGGCTCCCTGCAACCTCTCTTTCCCGGGTTCAGCAATTCTCCTGCCTCAGCCTCCCCAGTAGCTGGGATTATAGGCACCTGCCACCACACGCAGATAATTTTTGTATTTTTAGTACAGACGGGTTTCGCCATGTTGGCCAAGCTGGTCACAAACTTCTGACCTCAGGGTGATCTGCCTGCCTCAGCCTCTCAAAGTGCTGGGATTACAGGAGTGAGCCACAAAGCCCGGCCACTCCATACGTTTTATATTGTTATGTTACCATCAGTCAGGCAGCTCCTTGCTTCTAAAAGTCATCCAATCAGACTCATTTCAGTAAACACCCAAGCATGAGTGACAACCAATCAAAGTAATATCTTCCCAATGACCACACTTTTCCAGATGACGTCAAGCCACAGAAGGCCCTGAAAATCCAACAATCTCTGAAGTATACATTTCCCAGGCTGAGCGCAGTGGCTCACACCTGAAATCCCAGCACTTTGGGAGGCTAAGGCAGGCAGATCACGAGGCCAGGAGTTCGAGACCAGCCTGGCCAACATGGCAAAACCCCGTCTCTACTAAAAATACAAAAATTAGCCAGGTGTGGTGGCACGCACCTGCATTACCAGCTACTGAGGAGGCTGAGGCAGGAGAATGGCTTGAACCCAGGAGGCGGAGGTTGCAGTGAGCCAAGATCGTACCACCGCACTCCAGCCTTGGTGACAGAGCAAGACTCCATCTCAACAACAACAACAAAAATGGTTGAAATAAAACTTCTATGTGTTGAACGATTCCTCTTTTAGGCATAGAGTTTCAGTTTTACAAGATGAAAATATTCTGGAGATCTGTTTCAAAACACCGTGAATACATTTAACACTGCTATACTGTACACTTACAATGGCTAAGATGGTAAATTGTATGTTATGTTTTTACTACAATTTTTTTTTTTTTTTTTCTGAGACAGAGTCTCACTCTTGTTGCCCAGGCTGGAGTGCAATGGTGCGGTCTCGGCTCACCGCAACCTCCGCCTCCTGGGCTCAAGCCATTCTCCTGCCTCAGCCTCCAGAGCAGCTGGGATTACAGGCATGCGCCACCACGCCTGGCTAATTTTATATTTTTAGAAGAGACGGGGTTTCTCCATGTTGGTCAGGCTGGTCTCGAACTCTGGACCTCAGGTGATCCACCCGCCTTGGCCTCCCAAAGTGCTGGGATCACAGGCGTGAGCCACCACGCCTGGCCTACAATTTTTTTTTAACTTTTTTTTCTGAGATGGAGTCTCGCTCTTGTCACCCAAGTTGGAGTGCAGTAGTGTGATCTCGGCTCACTGCAACCTCTGCCTCCCTGGTTCAAGGGATTCTCCTGCCTCAACCTCCCAAGTGTGGGAGATCAGTCAGAGTAGCAGAAGAAATTATAGGAATAGGAAGCAGCAAACCTTCTTGGAAGGCCAGGGAGGTTGGCATAGCTTCAGATAGTTTGGCTGAAAGCAGCCAGATTCTCTTTTCAGGAGCCAAACAGCTTAGGGCGCAGATACAAAGGAATGCGGAGTATTTTATCTAAATAGCTTGCTTAGTCATATGGTCCTAAAATCAACCTTTGATCATTCTCGGGCAAGATGGCCCTCTCCAGGGAGGTGGCGGGGGGCGGTGACCAGGTTAATTACCCACAGGTGTGTTGACTCAAAGCCTTTGTTAATTAAATCTGTGCTAAATAAATGCAAGCGTTGCCAGCTTAGAGGGGCTGCACTCTCTTTGGCTCCTAGTGCCGGCAGCCCCCTGGCCTGCTCTTTCACTGAATATTGGTGTCTGAGGACGTGTCTCATCTGTCGTACAGCTGGGATCTGCAGAACAGATCCCCCCCGCACCCAAGAAGCTGGGATTACAGGCACCCGCCGCCATGCCCAGCTCATTTTTGTATTTTTAGTAGAGACAGGGTTTCACCATGTTGGTCAGGCCGGTCTCGAACTCCCGGCCTCAGGTGATCTGCCCGCCTCAGCCTCCCAAAAGTGCTTGGATTACAGGCATGAGCCACTGCGCCTGGCCTTAGAAAACTTCTTTTTCTTTTTTTTTTTTTTTTTTTTTTGAGACAGAGTTTCACTCTGTCGCTACGCTGGTGTGATCTGGGCTCACTGCAATCTCCGCCTCCCAGGTTCAAGTGATTCCCCTGCCTCAGCCTCCCGAGTAGCTGGAACTACAGGTGCGCACCGCCACGCCCGGCTAATTTCTTGTATTTTCGTGGAGACGGGGTTTCACCATGTTGGCTAGGCTGGTCTGTTTCATGCGCGTCCGTGTGAAGAGACCACCAAACAGGCTCTGTGTGAGCAACAAGGCTGTTTATTTCACCTGGGTGCAGGCAGGCTGAGTCCGACAAGAGAGTCAGCGAAGGGGGATAGGGGTGGGGCCGTTTTATAGGATTTGGGTAGGTAAAGGAAAATTACAGTCAAAGGGGGGTTGTTCTTTGGTGGGCAGGAGTGGGGGGTCACAAGGTGCTCAGTAGGGGAGCTTTTGAGTCAGGATGAACCAGAAGAAGGAATTTCACAAGATAATGTCATCAGTTAAGGCAGGAACAGGCCATTTTCATTTCTTTCGTGGTGGAATGTCATCAGTTAAGGCAGGAACCGGCCATCTGGATGTGTACGTGCAGGTCACAGGGGATATGATGGCTTAGCTTGGGCTCAGAGGCCTGACATTCCTGTCTTCTTATATTAATAAGAAAAATAAAACGAAATAGTGGTAAAGTGTTGGGATGGCGAAAATTTTGGGGGGTGGTATGGAGAGAGAATGGGCGATGTTTCTCAGGGCTGCTTCGAGCGGGATTAGGGGCGGCGTGGGAACCTAGAGTGGGAGAGATTAAGCTGAAGGAAGATTTTGTGGTAAGGGGTGATATTGTGGGATTGTTAGAAGAAACATTTTTCATTTAGAATTACTGGTGATGGCCTGGATGCAGTTTTGTATGAATTGAAAAACTAAATGGAATAAGGAAAGGAGAAAAACAGGTATTAAAGGTCTAAGAATTGGGAGGACCTAGGACATCTAATTAGAGAGTGCCTAAGGAGGTTCAGCATAGCCTTGCCAGCAAAGATTATTTATTTACTTCAAGAGTTAAGAGTGGTGGTTTGGGGATAGCACCAGGAGATATCAGCTGTGATGGCTTGGAAAAACAGTGTAAACCAGCAGTGTAAACAAGAGCAGGGCATGTGTGAGTAGTTGAGAATGGTGAATAGGAGTATGACTAGACAGAAGATAGTAGGGATGACAAGTTTTTGGGGGCACATTCCAAGTTGGTCTGGTGTCTGGAATGAGACTGGGGCTTAATAAAAAGGAGCGTCTATACAGGAGCTCAAATGGGCTGTACCCTTTAGCATTCTGAGGACAGGCCTGAATTCTGAGAAAAGAAAGTGGTAAAAGTATTGTCCAGTCTTTTTTAAGTTGGTGGCTGAGCTTGGTGAGGTGTGTTTTTAAAAGACTATTAGTCTGTTCTACTTTTCCTGAAGACTGAGGACTGTAAGGGATATAAAGGTTTCACTGAATACCAAGAGCCTGAAAAACTGCTTGGCTGATTTGACTAATAAAGGCCGGTCTGCTATCAGACTGTATAGAGGTGGGAAGGCCAAACTGTGGAATTATGTCTGACAGAAGGGAAGAAATGACCTCGGTGGCCTTCTCAGACCCTGTGGGAAAGGCCTCTACCCATCCAGTGAAAGTGTCTACCCAGACCAAGAGGTATTTTAGTTTCCTGACTCAGGGCATGTGAGTAAAGTCAATTTGCCAGTCCTAGGCGGGGGCAAATCCCCGAGCCTGATGTGTAGGGAAGGGAGGGGACCTGAGCAATCCCTGAGGGGTAGTAGAATAGCAGATGGAACACTGAGAAGTGGTTTCCTTGAGGATAGATTTCCAGGATGGAAAGGAAATGAGAGGTTCTAAGAGATGGGCTAGCAGCTTGTAACCTACATGGAAGAGGCTATGAAATATCGACCGAATAGAATGGGCCTGTGAGGCTGGAAGGAGGTATTTTCCTTGGTCTAAGAACCATTTGCCTTGTGTGGGAAGAGATTGATGGGTGGAAGTTTCAGTGGGGGAGTAGGTGGGAGTGACTGATGAGAAGGAGAAAAACTGGCTGTGGGGGACAGAAATTGGCATGCTAGCTGCTTGTCTAGCTACCTTATCAGCATAAGCATAGATGTGAGAGACAGAAGTTGGAAAGCTAGCTGCTTGTCTAGCCACCTTGTCAGCATAGGCATTGTCTAGAGCAATGGGATCTGATGACTTTTGATGGCCTTTGCAGTGAATGACTCCAGCTTCCTCTGGGAGTAAAGCGGCCTTGAGCAGAGTTTTTATTAAGGAGGCATTAAAGATGGAGGACCCTTGTGTAGTGAGGAAACCTCTTTCAGCCCATATGACCGCATGGTGGGGCAGAATATGAAAGGCATATTTAGAGTCAGTATAAATATTGATGCATAGTCCTTTTGCATCAGTGAGGGCTTGAGTTAAGGCAACTAATTCGGCTTGCTGAGAGGTAGTGGAGGGGGCAGAGCGGTAGCCTCAATGATAGATGTGGAAGATACTATAGCATAGCCTGCCTTTGCTGGTGAGTGGCGATTAGGCCTGGTGGAACTGCCATCAATAAACTAAATGTGATTAGGGTGAGGAATAGGAAAGAAGGAAATGTGGGGAAATGGGGTGAATGTCAGGTGGATCAGAGAGATACAGTCATGGGGGTCAGGTGTGGTATCCGGAATAATGTGGGAGGCCGGATTGAAGTATGGGCCAGTAACAATGGTAATTGTGGGAGACTCAACAAAGAGTGAGTACAGCTGAAGGAGCCGGGGAGCAGAAAGTATATGCGTCAGGTGTGAGGAAGAAAATAGATTTTTGGAAGTTATGAGAACTGTAGAGAGTGAGTTGAGCATAGTTTGTGATTTTGAGGGCCTCTAAAACTATTAAAGCAGCGGCAGCCGCTGCTCACAGACGTGAGGGCTAGGCTAAAACAGTAAGATCAAGTTGTTTGGACAGAAAGGCTACAGGGTGCGGTCCTGGCTCTTGTGTAAGAGTTCTGACCACGCTAACCATGCCTAGGAAGGAAAGGAGTTGTTGTTTTGTAGAAGGTGCTGGGGTTTGAGAGATCACTAGGACACGATTGGCAGGGAGAGCACGTGTGTTTTTATGAGAATTATGCCGAGATAGGTAACAGAGGAGGAAGAAATTTGGGCTTGACTGAAGTAATGGGGGCTGTCTGTGAAGCCTTGCAGCAGTACAGCCTAGGTAATTTGCTGAGCTTGATCGGTGTCAGGGTCAGTCCAAGTGAAAGCGAAGAGAGGCTGGGATGAAGGGTGCAAAGGAACAGTAAAGAAAGCATGTTTGAGATCCAGAACAGAATAATGGGTTGTAGAGGCAGGTATTGAGGATAGGAGAGTATATGGGTTTGGCACTACGGGGTGGATAGGCAAAACAATTTGGTTGATAAGGTGCAGATCCTGAACTAATGTGTAAGCCTTGTCTGGTTTTAGGACAGGTAAAATGGGAGAATTGTAAGGGGAGTTTATAGGCTTTAAAAGGCCATGCTGTAGCAGGCTTTAATCCTTTTAAAGCATGCTGTGGGATGGGATATTGGCATTGAGCGGGGTAAGGTTGATTAGGTTTTAATGAGATGGTAAGGGGTGCATGATTGGTCACCAAGGAGGGAGTAGAGGTATCCTATACTTGTGGGTTAAGGTGGGGGGATACAAGAGGAGGACACAAAGGAGGCTTTGGATTGGGAAGAAGGGCAGCAATGAGATATAGCTGTAGTCCAGGAATAGTCAGGGAAGCAGATAATTTAGTTAAAGTGTCTCAGCCTAATAAGGGAACTGGGCAGGTGGGGATAACTAAAAAGGAGTGCTTGAAAGAGTATTGTCTAAGTTGGCACCAGAGTTGGGGAGTTTTAAGAGGTTTAGAAGCCTAGCTGTCAATACCTACAACAGTTATGGAGGCAAGAGAAACAGGCCCTTGAAAAGAAGGTAATGTGGAGTGGGTAGCCTCCATATTGATTAAGAAGGGGACGGGCTTACCTTCCACTGTGAGAGTTACCTAGACTGTCTGTGATGGTCCTGTAGGCTTCCGAGGCGATCGGGATCGGGCAGTGTCAGTCTTCAGCTGCTAAGCCGAGAAGATCTGGGAAGGAGTCAGAGAGCCTTGGGCCAGAGTTCTAGCTGCTCTGGGAGTGGCTGCCAGGTGAGTTGAACAGTCCGATTTTCAGTGGGGTCCCGCACAGATGGGATGCGGCTTAGGAGGAATCCCAGGCTGTGGACATTCCTTGGCCCAGTGGCCAGATTTCCAGTACTTGTAGCAAGCTCCTGGGGGAAGAGGTTCTGGAGGAACCCCTGGCAGCTGCGGTTCAGGCGTTTGGAGTTCTCGTGTGCTGGAGATGTGGCTGGGGTTTGTCTCATCTGGATACTGGAGTGGAGGCAAGGAATTGCAACTCAGAAATATGTTGCTATTTGGCTGCCTCTACTCTATTACTGTACACCTTGAAGGCGAGGTTAATTAAGTCTTGTTGTGGGGTTTGAGGGACAGAATTTAATTTTTGGAGCTTTATTTAATGTTGGGAGCAGATTTGGTAATAAAATGTATATTGAGAATAAGACGGCCTTTTGACTTAGGGTCTAGGGCTGTAAAGCGTCTCAGGGTTGCTGCCAAATGAGCCATGAACTGGGCTGTGTTTTTAAATTTGATGAAAAAGAGCCTAAACACTATCTGATTTGGGAGAGGTCAGATAAAGAAAAAGGAGCATTAACCTTGACTATGCCTTTAGCTTCAGCCACCTTTTTAAGAGGAAATTGCTGGGCAGTTGGGGGAGGGCTAGTCATGGAATGGAACTGTAAGCTGGACCGGGTGTGAGGAGGGGAGGTGATAAAAGGATTATAGGGTGGAGGAGCGGAGGCTGAGGAAGAATTGGGACCCAGCTCGGCCTGGCGAGGAGGGGAGATGTCAGATGGGTCTGTAGAAAAGGAAGATTAGAAAGACTCAGCGATGCTTGGGGTTGGGACTGACGGGACAGGCGGGAGGGAAAGAAGGAAGATTTGGGACGAGTTGCACTGGGCATAGAGACTAGGGAGGGACCGATGTGTAAAAGAATGCCTGGATGTCAGGCACCTCAGACCGTTTGCCCATTTTACAACAAGAATTATTTAGATCTTGTAGGATGGAAAAATTGAAAGTGCCGTTTTCTGGCTATTTGGAACCACTGTCAAGTTTGTATTGGGGTCAAGCAGCATTGCAGAAGAAAATAAGGCATTTAGGTTTTAGGTCAGGTGTGAGTTGAAGAGGTTTTAGGTTTTTAAGAACACAGGCTAAGGGAGAAGAAGGAGGAATGGAGGGTGGAAGGTTGCCCATACTGAAGGAGGCAAGCACAGAGAAAAGAGAGAGTAGAGACATGGAGGGAAGGGGTTCAGGGGTTCTTACCTTCCAGAAAAGCGGGAAAGGGGTCAGGGCACAGAAGTAAGGGATTGGGGTGCAGAGACAAGAGGTCGGGGTGTGGAAATAAGGGATCGGGGTGCAGAGATAAGACGTCAGGGCACAGAAATAAGGGATCGGGGGATTCTTGCCCCCTAGAAAAGCGGTACTTGCCACTAAGGGTGAAGGAGAAGGGGTTGGGGGGTTCTTGCCCCCCCAGAAAAGCAGAGAAGGGGTAGAGACACAGAGAAGGAGTTGGGGGTTCTTGCCCCCCCAGAAAAGCAGTACTTGCCACTAAGGGTGAAGGACCAAGGCAGGCATCCCCATGTGGTCAGACACCTCTGAAACGTGGGTGAATAATCAGAGAGGTGTCCCCGCGTGATTAAACACCAAGGGAAGGCTGCCTTCCCGAGTCCATGACCGGCGCTGGAGTTTTGGGTCCACGAATAAAGCGCGTCTCCTGTCTCTACCAGAAAAGGAAAGGAACTGAAATTAAGAGAAGGGAGAGATTGAAGAGTGGAAAGGAGAAAGTGGTTGAGGGATAGTGAGAGAGGTTGGAGAAGAGAGTAAAAAGAGGCTGCTTACTGGATTTAAAATTGGTGAGATGTTCCTTGGGCTGGTTGGTCTGAGGACGAGAGGTCGTAGGTGGATCTTTCTCATGGAGCAAAGAGCAGGAGGACAGGGGATTGATCTCCTAAGGAAGATCCCCTGATTCGAGTTATGGCACCAAATTTCACTCACGTCCGTGTGAAGAGACCACCAAACAGGATTTGTGTGAGCAACAAGGCTGTTTATTTCACCTGGGTGCAGGCGGGCTGAGTCCAGAAAGAGAGTCAGCAAAGGGAGATAGGAGTGCGGCCGTTTTATAGGATTTGGGTAGGTAAAGGAAAATTACAGTCAAAAGGGGGTTGTTCTCTGGCGGGCAGGAGTGGGGTTCACAAGGTGCTCAGTAGGGGAGCTTTTGAGCCGGGATGAGCCAGGAGAAGGAATTTCATAAGATAATGTCATCACTTAAGGCAAGAACAGGCCATTTTCATTTCTTTCGTGGTGGAATGTCATCAGTTAAGGCAGGAACCGGCCATCTGGATGTGTACATACAGGCCACAGGGGGATATGATGGCTTAGCTTGGGCTCAGAGGCCTGACAGTCTGGATCACCTGACCTGGTGATCCGCACACCTCGGCCTCCCAAAGTGCTGGGATTACAGGCATGACCCACTGCACCTGGCCTTAGAAAACTTCTTAAATATTAAAATGTATGTTATGTGTATTTTGCCACAATTTTTGAAAAGTACCTTCTGGTGTTTAGAGACAGAAGATGAGTGGTTGCCTAGGGCCGGGAGAGTGAGGGGATCGTGGTGATGGGCAGCTGGTCGGCATGGGGTTCTGAAGGGCAGTGATGACAACATTCTAAAATTAGACTGTGTTGACGGTTGCACCAACTCCGTGAATACCACAAAATTTAAACCATTGAATTATGCACTTTTAATGGGTAATTGTATGGCATGTAAATTATATCTCAATAAAGTTATATTTTTAAATACCAAAAAAAGGCCGGGTGCGGTGGCTCACGCCTGTAATCCCAGCACTTTGGGAGGCCGAGAAGGGCGGATCACGAGGTCAGGAGATGGAGACCATCCTGGCTAACATGGTGAAACCCCATCTCTACTTTGAAAAAAAAAAAAAAAGATTACCCGGACGTGGTGGTGGGCACCTGTAGTCCTAGCTACTCAGGAGGCTGAGGCAGGAGAATGGCATAAACTCGGGAGGCAGAGCTTGCAGTGAGTCGAGATTGCGCCACTCAGGAGGCTGAGGCAAGAGAATGGCATAAACCCCGGAGGCAGAGCTTGCAGAGAGCCGAGATTGCGCCACTGCACTCCAGCATGGGTGACAGAGCGAGAGTCCATCTCAAAAAAAAAAAAAAAAAAAAAAAAGATTAGTAATATCCTCTGTGTCACTTACCACTTAAGTGATTGAATCACGACTTGAAATTCATCATCTCAAACATGGCTTAGAGTCTGTAGAGGGGGGACAGTCCCAGGAATGCTGGTGTGGGCTTAAGGCTGAATTAAATAGATCCAGATGGCTCACACCTGTAATCCCAATACCTTGGGAGGCCGAGGCAGGTGGGAGGCTGAGGCAGGCGGATCACTGGAGCTCCTGGAGCGAAGAAAGGATGCTAGTGGAAAAACTGGTGAAATCAGAATAAAGTCTATAGTTTTATTTTTTAAAGGAGGCTGGGCGTGGTGGCTCATGCCTCTAATCCCAGCACTTTGGGAGGCTGAGGCAGGTGGATCAGTTGAGTTCAGGAGTTCAAAACCAGCCTGGCCAACTTGACGAAACCCCATCTCTACTAGAAATACAAAAATTAGCTGGGCGTGGTTGTGGGTGCCTCTAATCCCAGCTACTCAGGAAGCTGAGGCAAGAGAATTGCTTGAACCCAGGAGGCGGAGGTTGCAGTGAGCTGAGATCACACCATTGCACTCCAGCCTGGGCTACAGAGCAAGATTCCATCTCCAAATAAGAGAGACATGACAATTAAATAAATTGTGTAATCTTGGATTAAATCCTAAACCAAATATATGTCACTGGTAAAACAAGTGGTGAAATTTGAATAAAGTGGATAGATCAGACAATAGTGTCATATCAGTGCTATTTCTTGACCTTGAACATTAATAACAGAATGTCCTTGGTTTTGGGAAATATAACCTGAAGTGATTAGAGGTTTAGGGCATCATATGCAAATTAGACACACTTTCTTCGGGGAGAGAGGGAGAGGGAGAGAGGCTGAATGATGAAGCAAATGTGGTAAAATGCTAACTTTGGGGAAATCTGGATGAAGAAATTACAGATTTTTTTTTTTTTTATAGACAGGGTAACACTCTGTCACCCAGGCTAGAGTGCAGTGGCACGATCATGGCTCACTGCAGCTTCTACCTCCCTGGGCTCAGATGACCCTCTCACCTCAGCCTCCCAAGTAGCTGGGACTATAGGCGCACAGCACCACACCTGGCTAATTTTTGCATTTTTTTTTCCCCCAGGCTCGTCTCAAGCAATCCACCCACCTCGGCCTCCCAAAGTGCTGGGATTACAGGTGTGAGCCACTGCACCTGGCCAGAAATTCTTTAAACTATTTTTGCAAGTCTGGAATTATGTCAAAATTAAAAGCTCAAAATAATAAAAGACAATATTCTTATATTTCTTTGGTGAAGGTAACTATGTTATGGCTGAGAGGGTGGCTGAGGTCTGAGGATCCAGCCTACATAAGTCTCCTCCATAGAGGGCATCCAAGCGCTCCGTAGGGGGAAGGATAAAGAAAACACCCAGAGTTATGACAGCTGTGTAAGGGGAAACGCCAGCACCGAGTACTGAATCTTCAGTAAATAAGAAGGAGGCGGGCTGGGTGTGGTGGCTCACGCCTGTAATCCCAGCACTTTGGGAGGCTAAAGTGGGCTGATCACTTGAGGTCAAGAGTTCGAGACTAGCCTGGCCAACATGGGGAAACCCTGTCTCTACTAAAAATACAAAAATTAGTCGAGTGTGGTGGCACACGCCTGTAATCCCAGCTACTTGGGAGGCTAGAACAGGAGAATTGCTTGAACCCAGGAGGTGAAGGTTGCAGTGAGCTGAGATTGCACCACTGCACCCCAGCTTGAGGGACAGAGTGAGATTCCGTCTTAAAGAGAAAAAAAAAAGAATTAGCACATTTGTTTGCCTCAAGAAGATACAACTAGTCTTGTACAGTAGTCACATGTATCCACCAGGATATATTCCAAGGCCCCAGTGGATGCTGAAAACTACATAGTACCTTACATGTATATATATATGTATATACATATATACACATATACGTATATGTATACATACATGTATATATACATGTATGTATATACATATATGCATATATACATACATGTATATATACATGTATGTATATACATATATGTATATGTATGTATACACGCATACATGTATGTATACACGCATACATGTATGTATATACATATATGTATGTATACACGGATACATGTATGTATATACATATATGTATGTATACACGCATACATGTGTGTATACATATATATGCATGTATGCATGTGTGTATATATACATATATGTGTATATATACGCATATACATGTATGTGTATATATGCATGTGTATATATACATGTACGGTACTATGCAGTATATATACACATATATGTATATATGTATACATATATGTATAAATGTATATATGTGTATATATATAAAAGGTATATATGTATATATGTGTGTATATATAAAATGCATGAATTTCTTTTTTCTTACTGTAGATCTTAACAACTTCTGCATAGAATTTTTTTTTATTAAGTGGAGAGTTAGTTACTTACTTAAAAGAAATGTTTCTTGGCTGGGTGTGGTGGCTCACACCTGTAATCCCAGCACTTTGAGAGGCCGAGGCAGGAAGATTCACTTGAGGTGAGGAGTTGGAGACCATCCTGGCCAACGTGGTAAAAACCGGTCTCTACTAAAAGTACAAAAATGAGCTGGGCGTGGTGTTGGGTGTCTGTAGTCCCAGCTACTCAGGTGGCTGAGGCAGGAGAATTGCTTGAACCCACAAGGCAGAGGTTGCAGTGAGCTGAGATCACACCACTGCACCACAGCCTGGGCAACAGAGCAAGACTCTGTCTCAAAAAAAAAAAAAAAAAAGAAAGAAAAAGAAAAAGAAAAGAAATGTTTCTTTTCTTATTAAGTTCTTTAAATGAAAAGCTTTTCTTTTCACTTTTATTTTATTGAAACATTATAACACTATCTTTGAAGAAGATAGTGTTATCATTCCATTCTGATGAAACCAATTAACTTATCCAAGCATATGTATACTGTACACAGAGAAGCCAACGTCAAAACCCCTATTTTTATCTTTTTAGATTCAGCAGATACATGTGCAGGTTTTTTATGAGTATATTGCATGATGCTGAGGCTTGCATTAATGATCTAGTCACCAAATAGGTAGATTTTCAAGCCTTGCTCCCCTCCTTACCCAATGTTTAGCGCTCTCACTTATAAGTGAGAACATGTGGTATTTGGTTTTCTTTTCTTTTTTTTTTTTTTTTTTGAGATGGAGTTTCACTCTTGTTGCCCAGGCTGGAGTACAATGGCACCATCTCGGCTCACTGCAACCTTCACCTTCCAGGTTCAAGCAATTCTCCTGCCTCAGCCTCCCGAGTAGTTGGGACTACAGGCATGTGCCACCACACCCGGCTAATTTTGAATTTTTAGTAGAGACAGGGTTTCTGCATGTTGGTCAGGCTGGTCTCGAACTCCCGACCTAAGGTGATCCACCTGCCTCAGCCTCCCAAAGTGCTGGGATGACAGGCCTGAGCCACCGTGTCTGGCCAGTATTTGGTTTTCTGTTTCTGTGTTAACTCGCTTAGGATAATGGCCTCTAGCTGCATCCATGTTGCTGCAAAGGACATAATCTTGTGATTTTTCAAGGCTGTATAGCGTTCTGTGGTGTATACATATCACATTGTCTTTATCCAGTCCACCTCTGATGGGACCTGGGTGGATTCCATGTCTTCACTATTGTGAATCCTGCTGCAATGAACATACAAGTGCATGTGTCTTTTTGGTAGAATGATTTATTTTCCTTTGGCTATATACCCAGCGATGGGATTGCTGGGCTGAATGGTAACTCTGTTTGTAGTTCTCTGAAATATCTCCAAACCAAACTGCTTTCCACAGTGGCTGAACTAATTTACACCCACCAACAGTGTATAAGTGTCCCCTTTGCTCCACAATCTCACCAGCATCTGTTAATTTCTGGCTTTTCAGTAATGGCCATTCTGACTGGTGTGAGATGGTATTGTTGAGGGATAATTTAGGAATCAGAGAGACCGAGGGGTTGAGGAGGATTTATTATTATTATTATTATTTAGGTGCACCGGCCCCAGTCAGATTAACATCCAAAAAGACTGAGGCTCGAACAGAGAGTCCGGTTACCTTTTAAGCATTTTGTGGGGTTGGGGGAGATCTGTGCAGGGGGAAGCATATTACAGAAGCAAGAAACAAAGGCAGTTATTCAATTGAGACATGCATCACATTATTCCTTACTTTTCAAGAAAAATATGTTTTACGACTTGAGGTTATCCTGTCTAGTGACCTTGCAGCCGCACGGCAAGAGAAACAGGGTCTTCACAATGCCTGGGAAAGGGAGAGATAAGGCTCACTAGCCACAGACAGAAAAACAGGCAGTTCATGTTTAAAGGACTCCACCTCTTTCTCTTCCTCGGGGGGAACTGGGTTTTCTTAAATACAACTGAGTTTTTGTTTACACATTCTGTAATTTCTTTTAATTCCTGTTCCAGTATCTCACTGTGAAACTCCCTATGTTTTTATACGATTCTCAGGGGGTTTCCTCTGGGCATGATTGGGCACAACTTCCCACAGTCAGCTCTGGGTACGACCTCCACATTGCAGAATTGAGAAGTTGACCCAGAAATGCATTTTGGGCTGAGCAGACAATTGTCAGAGTTGCTGGCTAGACCACAGATGTGTCAGAGGGACCACGGCCTTTCTGTAAGCTCATGGTCAGAGGCGGAGGGGAGTTGTGAACGTTCTGATGAAAGCAGTCAACGTGAAAGCGCTCTGGTGATGGGCGCTGGTGCTCACCCACCACTTCCTGTGTATCTATCTCCCTGGCCCGCCCGGCTCAGTCCCCACTGCTCAGCACTAGGCCGGCAGAATCTGAGCGATGTCTTCCACACTCCCTGCCCTGCTCTGCGTCGGTGAGTTCTGGCGTGGAAGGGGAATGGGATCACGGTGTGCCTGGGAGGCAACAGGTCTCATTACTCCCGTCTTCCAGGGCTGTGTCTGAGTCAGAGGATCAGCGCCCAGCAGCGTGAGTCCTTCCTTCAAAGCCCAGGGTCACTCTTCCGGATTCAGGCCAAGCTCCTTCCACCCAAGCACGGCTGGGGTGAGGGGACAGGGTGCTGGCTTCCCAGGAGAGCTTGGGGCCAGCAGCTGGGTGGAGCCTAAGGTTGGGGGGAGGGGGCTCCGCTGGAACTCCAGCCTCTGATTCCCTTCCAGAGACTCTCCCAAAACCGTTCATCTGGGCCGAGCCCCATTTCATGGTTCCAAAGGAAAAGCAAGTGACCATCTGTTGCCAGGGAAATTATGGGGCTGTTGAATACCAGCTGCACTTTGAAGGAAGCCTTTTTGCCGTGGACAGACCAAAACCCCCTGAGCGGATTAACAAAGTCCAATTCTACATCCCGGACATGAACTCCCGCATGGCAGGGCAATACAGCTGCATCTATCGGGTTGGGGAGCTCTGGTCAGAGCCCAGCAACTTGCTGGATCTGGTGGTAACAGGTAACTGTCCGGTTCTCTAACTGGAGAGTGATCTCAGTCTGCATCCGGGATGCAGCATCATCTATGAACTCTTCCAAGCCCCACTCAGACACTGCTTGTCTCGGTAGGAGGCTGGAAGGAGGGGTGATCCCCATCACAATCCTTGCCTACAAGGGGTTGTCTGCAGACCGTGTCTCTACGTCCTAGGAGCAGATGTGTCCTCAGTCAGTTTCTCCATGACACAGATTCTGAGATAGATATTTGTATGCAGGGGTATGACTGAGGAATGTCCTCAAAAACAATGCCTGTGGGCCAGGCGCAGTGGCTTACACTTTGCTTCCCTCACCCATCACAGGTGGTGGGTTTTTTTTTTTTTTATCTGTTTTGAGACGGAGTTTCGCTCTTGTCACCCAGGCTGGAGTGCAGTGGTGCAATCTCCAGTCACTGCAACCTCCACCTCCTGGGTTCAAGTGATTCTCCAGCCTCAGCTTCCCAAGTAGCTGGGATCACAGGCACCCACCACTACGCCACATTTTGTATTTTTAGTAGAGATGGGGTTTCACCATGTTGGCCAGGGTGGTGTCGAACTCCTGACCTCAGATGATCCGCCCGCCTCACCCTCCCAAAGTGCTGGGATTACAGGTGTGAGCCATCACACCCAGCCAGGTGGTGGTTTTCTAAAAAAAAAAAAAAATTAGCTTTTTTTTTTTTTTAACAATATGGTTGTTTATTATTATTATCAAGTATTATACATAGTTACATATACATACATAATTGTATGTGCTATACAATTAGGTTTGTTTATACCAGCAACACCAAAAACACATGAGCAATACTTTGTGCTAGGAAGGCTATGATGTCATCAGGCAATAGGAATTTTTCAGTTTCATTATAATCTTATGGGACCACCATCATATATGTGGTACATTGTTGGCCAAAATGTCATTATGCAGCTCACAACAGTATTTCATGTCCATTCAAATATCTTCTTTTGTGAAATGTCTATTTAAATCTTTTGCCTATTTTTAAATTGGGTTGCTTATATTTTGATTGATTAGGAAAAGTTATTTCTATATTCTGTGTCATATACTTGTGTTGAAATATATATATTTTTTGTCTGTGCCTTTTCATTTGCTCAGGGTCTTTGGACCTTGTTTGGAGGTTCTGGCAGGGGAACACAGCTACTCATTTATTCTTTTTTTTTTAATTTTTTTAGTATTTATTGATCATTCTTGGGTGTTTCTCGGAGAGGGGGATTTGGCAGGGTCATAGGACAATAGTGGAGAGAAGGTCAGCAGATAAACATGTGAACAAAGGTCTCTGGCTTTCCTAGGCAGAGGTCCCTGCGGCCTTCCGCAGTGTTTGTGTCCCTGGGTACTTGAGATTAGGGAGTGGTGATGACTCTTAAGGAGCATGCTGCCTTCAAGCATCTGTTTAACAAAGCACATCTTGCACCGCCCTTAATCCATTTAACCCTGAGTGGACACAGCACATGTTTCAGAGAGCACGGGGTTGGGGGTAAGGTCATAGATTAACAGCATCCCAAAGCAGAAGAATTTGTCTTAGTACAGAACAAAATGGAGTCTCCTATGTCTACTTCTTTCTACACAGACACAGTAACAATCTGATCTCTCTTTCTTTTCCCCACATTTCCCCTTTTTCTATTCGACAAAACCGCCATCGTCATCATGGCCCGTTCTCAATGAGCTGTTGGGTACACCTCCCAGACGGGGTGGCGGCCGGGCAGAGGGGCTCCTCACTTCCCAGACGGGGCGGCCGGGCAGAGGCGCCCCCCCACCTCCCAGACGGGGCAGTGGCCGGGCGGGGGCTGCCCCCCAACCTCCCGGACGGGGCGGCTGGCCGGGGCTTTTTTTTTTTTTTTTGAGACAGTCTCGCTGCAGTGCAGTGGTACAATCTCAGCTCACTGCAACCTCTGCCTCAGCCTCAATTCTCCTGCCTCAGCCTCCCAAGTAGTTGAGATTACAGGCATGTGCCACCACACCCGGCTAATTTTTGCATTTTTAGTAGAGACGGGGTTTCACCATGTTGACCAGGCTGGTCTCAAACTCCTGACCCAGGAGGTCGAGGCTTCAGTAAGCAAAGATAGTGCCACGGCGCTCCAGCCTGGGAAACAGAGCAAGACCCTGTATCATTTTTAAAAATGGTTTTAGACGGTAAATCTTCTATTGTGTGTATTTGACCAAAATAATAATTAAAAAAAAAAAAAAAAGCTGGCTGCCAGGCATGGTGGCAGGCCCCTGTAGTCCCAGCTACTTGGGAGGGTGAGGCAGGAGAAACGCTTGAACCCGGGAGGCGGAGGTTGCAGTGAGCCAAGATCGTGTCACTGCACTCCAGCCTGGGCGACAGAGAGAGACTCCATCTCTAAAGAAAGAAAAAAAAAAATAGCTGGCTGCTCATCACTGAGTTTCTGGTGTGGTGGCCCCACCTTCTCTCATAGAAATGTATGACACACCCACCCTCTCGGTTCATCCTGGACCCGAAGTGATCTCGGGAGAGAAGGTGACCTTCTACTGCCGTCTAGACACTGCAACAAGCATGTTCTTACTGCTCAAGGAGGGAAGATCCAGCCACGTACAGCGCGGATACGGGAAGGTCCAGGCGGAGTTCCCCCTGGGCCCTGTGACCACAGCCCACAGAGGGACATACCGATGTTTTGGCTCCTATAACAACCATGCCTGGTCTTTCCCCAGTGAGCCAGTGAAGCTCCTGGTCACAGGTGAGGAAATGCTCAATTCCCCACACCCTTCGCCGCCATGTGCTACCTGGAGCCCTGAGGGATCCCCAGAGAGTGATGGGGAGGGTGTCCAAGGGACGTCCACTTCCTGGGTGCCTGGTTGGTCATGTGAGGAAGAACACCAGAAGCAGGAAGGAGGAGGGAACAGAGAAAGGAATGGTAAGGCGGGTGGATCACAAGGTCAGGAGTTCGAGACCAGCCTGGCCAAGACGGTGAAACCCCGTCTCTACTAAAAATACAGAAATTAGCCAGACGCAGTGGCGGACACCTGTAGTCCCAGCTACTCAGGAGGCTGAGGCAGGAGAATCGCTTGAACCCGGGAGGCGGGGGTTGTAGTGAACCGAGATCATACCACCGCACTGCAACCTGGGCGACAGAGCAAGACTCCATCTCAAAAAAAAAAAAAAAAAAAAAAGAATGGCAAGACCGGAGGAAACCAAAAACCCTTACTTTTTTTTCTTTATCTCCTTTTCCAGGCGACATTGAGAACACCAGCCTTGCACCTGAAGACCCCACCTTTCCTGGTGAGTAACTGGTCCTTCTAAGCTCAGACGAGCGATCAGAGCCTCCCAGTGACACTAAAAACGTGGCATTCATTCAAAATATTCATCGAGGCCAGGCGTGGTGGCTCACGCCTGTAATCCCAGCACTTTGGGAGGCCGAGATGGTGCATCATTTGAGGTCAGGAGTTTGAGACCAGCCTGGCCAACATGGCGAAACCCTGTCTCTACTAAAAATACAAAACTTAGGCTGGGCATCATGGCTCACACCTGTAATCCCAACACTTCGGGAGGCCAAGGTGGTTGGATCACAAGGTCAGGAATTCGAGACCAGCCTGACCAACATGGTGAAACCCCATCTCTACTAAAAA
Source organism: Homo sapiens (assembly GCF_000001405.40). Lineage (NCBI taxonomy): Eukaryota > Metazoa > Chordata > Mammalia > Primates > Hominidae > Homo > Homo sapiens. Next base: position 239,486 of record NW_016107304.1, read on the forward strand.
TACAAAAATTAGCCGGGCCTGGTGGTGCTCGCCTGTAATCCCAGCTACTCAGGAGGCTGAGGCAGGAGAATTGTTGAACCTGGGATGCAGAGGTTGCAGTGAGCTGAGATCGCGCCACTGCATTCCACTCCACTGCACGACACAGCGAGACTCCATCTCACAGAAAAACAAAAACAAAACTATTATATATATATATTCATCAAGTGCATAGTATACACAGTGAACTACACTGTAACAGTCAGCCAGGCAGATATCTTGACTGTGCAGCACTTAGATTCTAGCAGGAGGAGACACACCATCGGTCAACGTCAGGATAGCACACAGGAGGGAATGATGCTATGGAAGGAAAAGACAAAGTAGAACAGACTTACAGTGATTGAAATGGCAGCTAGCAATATTAAATAGGTTTGTCCAGATGGACCTCACAGAGAAAGAAGGCATCTGAGCAAATGCGTTCAGACTTGAGTTAATCATGTGGCTGTCAGGAGAAAGGAGGCTCTGGAGAGAATGAAATGGCATCTGCCTGTGCCCTGGGGCAGGAAGATAACTGGGGTAATACAATAATAACTATGAGGCCAGGAGGGTTGAAAATGATGTTTGGAAGATGACGGTGGGATGGGCCTGGGGCGCACGGCTAGGATTACAGGAGTGAGGCCCGGCGCGGTGGCTCACGCCTGTAATCCCAGCACTTTGGGAAACCGAGGCAGGTGGATCATGAGGTCAGGAGATCAAGACCATCCTGGCTAACACGGTGAAACCCTGTCTCTACTAAAAAAAAATACAAAAATTATCCGGGCGTGGTGGCGGGCGCCTGTAGTCCCAGCTACGCAAGAGGCTGAGGCAGGAGAATGGCGTGAACCCGGGAGACGGAGCTTGCAGTGAGCTGAGATCGCGCCACTGCACTCCAGCCTGGGCGACAGAGTGAGACTCCGTCTCAAAAAAAAAGAAAAAGAAAAAGAAAAAGAAAAAAAAATAGTGAGACTTTGAATTTCACTATGTGTGAGGAGAAAGAGGTAATGATGACTTAATGAGGAAAATGAGGCTTAAATAGAAGACGGGCTGGGCCGGGTGGCTCCTGCATGTAATCCCAGCACTTTGGAAGGCAGGGGCGGCTGGATCACTTGAGGTCAGGAGTTCAAGACCAGCCTGGCCAACACAGTGAAACCCCATCTCTACTAAAAATACAAACATGAGTTGGGTGTGGTGGCGCACGCCAGTAATTACAGCTACTCGGGGCTGAAGCAAGAGGATTGCTTGAACTCGGGAGGCGGAGGTTGCAGTGAGCTGAGATCACACCACTGTACTCCAGCCTCAGAGGCCTGCCATCCCAGCCCTTTGGGAGGCCGAAGCAGGCAGGTCATCTGAGGTTGGGAGTTCAAGACCAGCCTGGCCAACATGGCAAAACCCCGTTTCTACTAAAAATATGAAAAAAATTACCTGGGTATGTGGTGTGTGCCTGTAGTCCCAGCTACTCCAGAGGCTGGAACACAGTGAGACTCTATCTCAAAAAAAAAAAAAATAGAAGACATGACTGGTGCAAAGACACATGCTCACAAGTGCTAGAATGGAATTC